>NC_000009.12:40310000-40529470 GCF_000001405.40 Homo sapiens | reverse complement strand
TTTCTCAGAATGTTCTGTCTAGTTCTTAAGTGAAGATATTTCCTTTTCCACCATAGGCCTCAAAGCGAACAAAATGTCCACTTGCAGATTCTACAAAAAGAGTGTTTCCAAACTGCTCAACCAAAAGTAAGATTCAACTCTGTGGGTTGAATGAAAACATCACAAAGAAGTTTCTCAGGATGCTTCTGTCTAGTTTTTAAGGGAAGATATTTCCCTTTCCTCTAGAGGTCCAAAAGCCCTCCAACTTTGCAGATACTAGAAAAAGAGTGTTTCAAAACTGCTCAATCAAAAGAAAGTTTCAACCCTGTGAGGTGAATGCACACATCACAAAGAAGTTTCTCAGAACACTTCCGAGTAGTTTTTATGTGAAGATATTTCCTTTTCAACCATAGGCCTAAAAGCACTCCAACTATCCACTTGCAGATTCTACAAAAAGAGTGTTTCCAAACTGCTCAACCAAAAGTAAGATTCAACTCTGTGGGTTGAATGAAAACATCACAAAGAAGTTTCTCAGGATGCTTCTGTCTAGTTCTTATGTGAGGATATTTCCTTTTCCACCGTAGGCCTAAAAGTGCTCCAAATATCAACTTGCAGATTCTACAAAAAGTGGGCTTCAAAACTTCTCAATCAAAAGTAAGGTTCAATTCCCTGAGATGAATGCACACATCACAAAGAAGTTTGTCAGAATTCTTCTGTCTAGTATTTAAGTGAAGATACTTCCTTTTCCACCATATGCCGCAAAGCGCTCCAAATATCCACTTGCAGATTCTACAAAAAGAGTGTTTCAAAACTGCTCAATCAAAAGAAAGTTCAACTCTGTGAGATGAATGCCCACATCACAAAGAAATTTCTCAGAATATTTCTGTCTAGCTTCTCTATGAAGATATTTCCTTTTCCACCATAGGCCTCAAAGTGTTCCAAATGTCCACTTGCAGATTCTACAAAAAGAGTGTTTCAAAGCTGCTCAATCAAAAGAAATGTTCAACTCTGTGAGATTAATGCATACATCACAAACAACTTTCTCAGAATGCTTCTGTCTAGTTATTATGTGAAGATATTTCATTTTTCACCTTAGGCCTCAAATCACTCCAAATGTCCACTTGCAGATGTTACAGAAAGAGTGTTTGAAAACTACACAATCGAAGGAAAGGTTCAACTCTCTGAGATGAATGCACACATCACAAAGAATTTGTCAGAATGCTTCTGTCTAATATTTATGGGAAGATATTTCCTTTTCCACCATAGGCCTCAAAGCGCTCAAAATGTCCACTTGCAGATGCTACAAAAGGAGAGCTTCCAAACTATTCACTCAAAAGAAATGATCAACTCTGTGAGATGAATGCATACATCACAAAGTAATTTGTCAGAATGCTTCTATCTAATTTTTATGTGAACACATTTCCTTTTCCACTGTAGGCCTCAAACCACACAAAATGTCCATTTGCAGATAGTACCAAAAGGGTTTTTCAGAACTGCTTAATCAAAAGTAAGGTTCAACTCTGTGAGATGAATGCACATATCGCAAATAGGTTTGTCAGAATGCTTCCACCTAGTTTTTTTGTGAAGATATATCCTTTTCCACCTCAGGCCTCAAAGAGCTCCGCATGTCCCCTTACAGATTCTACAAAAAGAGTGTTTCAAAACTGCTCAATGAAAAGAAAGGTTCAACTCTGTGAGATGAATGCACACATCACAAAGAAGTTTCTCAGAATTCTTCTGTGTAGTTTTTAGGTGAAGATATTTCCCTTTCCACCATAGGCCCCAAAGCGCTCCAAATATCCACTTGCAGATACTACAAAAAGTGTTTTTCAAAACTGCTGAATCCAAAGAAATGTTCAACTTTGTGAGATGAATGCACACATCAGAAAGAACTTACTCAGACTTCTTCTGTGTTGTTTTTAGGTGAAGATATTTCCGTTTCCACCATAGGACTTGAAGTCCTCAAAATATCCACTTGTTCATTCCACAAAAAGTGTGCTTCAAATCTGCTCAATCAAAAGAAAGTTTCAATTCTGTGAGATGAATGCACACATCACAAAGTAGTTTCTCAGAATGCTTCTGTCCAGTTTTTATGTGAAGATATTTCCTTCTCCACCATAGACCTTAAGGCGTTCCAAATATCCACTTGCAGATTTTACAAAAAGAGTGTTTCAAACTGCTCAATCAAAAGAAAGGTTCAACTCTGTGTGTTGAATGCACAAATCACAAAGAAGTTTCTCAGAATGCTTCTGTGTAGTTTTTATGTGAAGATATTTCCTTCTCCACCATAGACCTTAAGGCGTTCCAAATATCCACTTGCAGATTTTACAAA
The DNA here is from genome assembly GCF_000001405.40 of Homo sapiens. Lineage (NCBI taxonomy): Eukaryota > Metazoa > Chordata > Mammalia > Primates > Hominidae > Homo > Homo sapiens. The sequence continues at coordinate 40,527,159 of NC_000009.12, read as the reverse complement.
AAGAGTGTTTCAAACTGCTCAATCAAAAGAAAGGTTCAACTCTGTGTGTTGAATGCACAAATCACAAAGAAGTTTCTCAGAATGCTTCTGTGTAGTTTTTATGTGAAGATATTTCCTTCTCCACCGTAGACCTTAAAGCACTCCAATTATCCACTTGCAGATCGTACAAAAAGAGTGTTTCAAATGGCTCAATCAAAAGAAAGGTTCAACTCTGTGAGCTGAATGCATAAATCACAAAGAAGTTCTCAGAATGCTTCCATCCAGTTTTTATGTGAAGATGTTTCCTTTTACCACCATTGGCCACAAAGCGCTCCAAATATCCACTTGCAGATTCTACAAAAAGTGTTTCAAAACTGCTCAATCAAAAGAAAGGTTCATCTCTGAGACATGAATGCACACATCACAAAGGAGTTTCTCAGAAGGCTTCTGTCTAGTTTTTATATGAGGACATTTCTTTTTCCACCGTAGGCTTCAAATCACTGCAAATATCCAAATGCAGATTCTACAAAAAGAGTGTTTCAAAACTGCTCAATCAAAAGAAAGGTTCAACTCTGTGTGTTGAATGCACAAATCACAAAGAAGTTTCTCAGAATGCTTCTGTGTAGTTTTTATGTGAAGATATTTCCTTTTCCACAATAGACCTCAAATCTCTCCAAATATCTACTTGCTGATTCTACAAAAAGTGTTTTTCCAAACTTCTCAATCAAAAGCAACGTTCAACTCTTTGAGATTAATGCACACATCAGGAAGTTCCTCAGAATGCTTCTATTTTTATGTGAAGATATAGCCTTTTCTGCCATAGACCACAAAACGCTCCAAATATCCCCTTGCAGTTTCTACTAAAAGAGTGTTTCCAAACTGCTCAATCAAAAGAAGTTTCAACTCTGTGAGATGAATGCACACATGCACACATCACAGAGAAGTTTCTCAGAATGCTTCTGTCTAGTATTTATGTGAAGATATTTCCTCTTCTACAATAGGTCTCAAACCACTCCAAATATCCACTTGCAAATACTACAAAAAGATTGTTTCAAAACTGCTCAATCAAAAGAAATCTTCAACTATGTGAGTTGAATGCACACATCACAAAGAACTTTCTCAGAACGCTTCTGTGTAGTTTTTATTTGAAGATATTTCCTTTTCCACCACAGGCCCCAAACTGATCCAAATATCCACATGCAGATCCTTCAAAAGAAGTGTTTCAAAACTGTTCGATCAAAAGAAAGGTTCAATTCTGTGAGATGAATGCACACATCACAAAGAAGTTTCTCAGAAGGCATTTGTGTAGTTTTTATGTGAAGATGTTTCCTTCTCCTCTATAGGCCTCAAATCGCTCCCAATGTCCACTTGCAGATTCTACAAAAAGAGTGTTTCAAAGCTGCTCAATCAAAAGAAATGTTCAGCTCTGTGAGATGAATGCACACATCACAAAGAAGTTTCTCAGAAGGCATTTGTGTAGTTTTTATGTGAAGATGTTTCCTTCTCCTCTATAGGCCTCAAATCGCTCCCAATGTCCACTTGCAGATTCTACAAAAAGAGTGTTTCAAAGCTGCTCAATCAAAAGAAATGTTCAGCTCTGTGAGATGAATGCACACATCACAAAGAGGTTTCTCAGAATGCTTCTGTCTAGTTTTTAAGGGAAGATATTTCCCTTTCCTCTAGAGGTCCCAAAGCCCTCCAACTTTGCAGATACTACAAAAAGAGTGTTTCAAAACTGCTCAATCAAAAGAATATTTCAACTCTGTGAGTTGAATGCACACATCACAAAGAAGTTTCTCAGAATGCTTCTGTCTAGTTTTTAAGAGAAGATATTTCCCTTTCCTCTAGAGGTCCCAAAGTCCTCCAACTTTGCAGATACTACAAAAAGAGTGTTTCAAAACTGCTCAATCAAAAGAATATTTCAACTCTGTGAGTTGAATGCACACATCACAAAGAAGTTTCTCAGAATGTTTCTGTCTAGTTTTTATGTGAAGATATTTCCTTTTCCACCATAGGCCCCAAAGCACTCAAAATATCCACTTGCAGATTCTACAAAAACAGTGTTTCAAAACTGCTCAATCAAGAGAAACATTCAACTCTGTGAGATAACTCTGTGAGATGAATGCATAGATCACAGAGGAGTTTCTCAAAATGCTTCTGTCTGGTTTTGATGTGAAGATATTTACTTTTCCACCATAGAATGTAAAGCGCTCCAAATATCCACTTGCAAACACTACAAAAAGAGTATTTCAAAAGTGCTAAATCAAAAGAAAAGTTCAACTCTGTGAGGTGAATGCACACATCACAAAGAAGTTTCTCAGAATGCTTCTTTCTTGTCTTTATGTGAAGATATTTCCTTTTCCATTCAGAACCTCGTAGCAGTGTTCTGTAATCCTGTGTGAGGGACAAACACTCAGAATCCAGCCACTGTGTACTGGAATCCTATCTGAGGGCACACATTTAAAATCCAGATGTAGTCTCCTTGCTTTAGTGAATACACTTATCTCCTTTTCCTGCTATACATTTAGGCAAATTATTTTTCTGTATCTTAAATAAATGGTAAATACCTGAAATTTCTTACTTTTTCCAGGCAGAGTGTCTTCACTATTTAGCTGTAGAAGTATAACTATTTTTGTCTGTGTCACAATTTTGTACTCAGGAACCCTGGCCATGTCACTAGCCAAACGGACATAACTTATGGAATACATGGACAGCATCCGGTTGATATGCTCTAGAGAAAAATAGCAGCTACCATAGACTTCAGGAAAGACACATCGAGCAAATGACAAAAATGTGGGTTTCCTACCTTCAGGGAGTCTAAGAATGCAGTAGAAAGTGATGTGGAGCAAACATCTTTCAAATGGAAGGAAGGGATAGGGAAAGAAGACTGTTACAGGCTCTTTTGAATGTTAGAGGCAACATAAAACATATTTGGATGTGTATTCTAAATAAAATGCAAATGTCAAGAAGGATGTCAGCTGTGAGTGGGACTCAGAGAAAGAGAAACGTTTTGGACTACAGAGGCCTGCAGTACAAGTGGATCTACAATTTTGTTTAGGGAATCCAATGCCTCAGGTATCTATGAGAGGCAGACTTTTCCTATGGAGCCAGCGGCAAGGCTCCAGAGGAGAAATACAGTACAAGCCACTTTATTTTGGAGTAAAAGCCTTTTGTACAAAAATTACCCGCCCCCTCCTTTTTTGAGAAACAATTTCACATTGGGATACTAATAAGAAGGAATGCTCAGTCATGAATAAGGGTGACCCCGTTGTGATCTGAGCATTATAGGATCATAGTAACTACAACCAGTCTTCCATCATTCCATGGAAATTGCATGTATGCCACGTTGCCTTCTCAGTTTCCAAGGGACCAATTAATGAACAGGCTACTCACATTTTCAGCATCCTACTCCTGACACACTCCCACCCTTCTTTCTATTTATCTGTGATTCATAGAGATTTGCCTATGACTGGATTCCTGAGGAGAAAAAAGTCTGGATTACAGATGGCATTCCTTGTTATGGAAGGCCCTTCCTTCTGAAAGTCTATTTCTATCATGTTCTTTCCCTGTGCTGTCAAAGGGTCACCCCTTTGTACAAAGGAGAAGAGAAATCCATCAAGTAAATAAAATTTCATTTAGCTTTGTAAAAAATATTTCTACCAAATCACGTGGAGGGCCTTATGGTTTGGTCCGATAATCAGAGATTTGAAAGAACCTGATATTGTTGGCCAGCAGATTAGAAAATAGTTATTAGAGAGAGATGGCTCAAGTGATAATAACTGTGTGCCTTGTGAATGCTCACCTAAACCAAAGATCACTGAAGATAATGTATTTTACCATAATGTTTTAATCTCAGGTAAATGCCAATTAGGAGACAAACACTTGTTTATCTCCTGATTGGTATTGATCTGAATTAAGCTGTCTGCCATTTGGAGAAATTTAAATGCTATTTTAAACACACAGTCTTGTTACTTGAGTTATTTATGATCTTAAGCGGCTCCCCTCCTTTTGTGGGTTAGATTGTGTCTTCAAAAAGAAAATATATATATTAGAGTTCTAGCCCCTGATGTCTGTGAGTATGACTTAATTTGAAATCAAATTATTTGCAGATGCTGTATAATTATGATATGCTAGATGAGCTCATAATGCATTAGAGTGGGCCATAATTCAATATGGTTGATATCCTCATAAGAAGGGAAGAGGAAACAGAGACGCAGGGAGGAGATGGCAATGTGAGGATGGAGGTAGAGAATAAAGTGAGGTATCCTCCAGCCAAGCAATGACAATGAAGCTCAGTGATCACCCGGTGCTAGAAGAAGCAAGAAAGGATTTTTTTCCAGGTCATTCAGAGAAAAATGCAGCACTGCTAACTCCTTCATTTAAGATTTCTAGCTTTCTGAACCGTAAAAGAATAACTTTATCTCATTTTAAGCGACCTAATGTGAACCACTTTGTCACAGCAGATATAGGAAATTACACCTCCTTAAAGAATGCAGAATCCTGGCCCGTGCTTGCCTCATACCTATTGAATGAGAATCTAAGGGCTCTAGAATCTGCATTTTGAAACTAATACATAATACACAAAGAGAACTCACTAAGTACTCTACATGCACTTCATCCTCACAAGCCATGAAGTAGTTTACTATTATAATTCTCATTTTACATATGGGAAACTGGAGCATGAAAAGATTAAGTAATTTGCCTACAGTCACTCACATAACCAGAAAGTGGAAGAGCTGGGATTCAATCCCAGTTCCAGACATCCTGATATCCTGGGTTCAGACACCACACACTTAGCAACTATTACACACTTAGCATTATTATTATTATTATTATTATTATTATTATTATTATTATTTTAATCACCATCTCCACCTTCTTAAGCACTCAAAAGTTGAAATCCAGTGGTGTGTTGCTGTTTCCATTCATAGCAAGTTATAGCCAAAATCATAAACTACACTTCCTCCAAAACAGTATACTGACTTCTCATCTCTTTTTAAAATCCCTTCCGTCGTTCTTTTCTTTCTTCTCTTCTCTTTTCTTTTCTCTTTTCTTTCTCTTGCTCTGTCACCCAGGCTGGAGTGCAGTGGCATCATCTCGGCTCACTGCGACCTCCACCTCCCGGGTTCAAGCGATTCTCCTGCCTCAGCCTCCCAAGTAGCTAAGGTTACAGGCGCCCAACACCATGCCAGTTTAATTTTTGTATTTTTAGTAGAGATGGGGTTTCACATCTTGGCCAGGCTGGTCTTGAACTGCTGACGTCGTGATCCATCCACCTCGGCCTCCCAAAGTGCTGGGATTACAGGCATGAGCCACTGTGCCCAGCCTCTTTCACCCATTGAAATCTCATTTCAACAATTACCATCTTTTTTGAGTGGTATTTTTGAAGTTATAAATGAATTCCCTATAATACATAGTGAGAATATTTATGGGAGCTTCCTAATTGACTTTCTAAACATTCTGCATTGCTTCTCATTTCCTTCTTTAAATTTCCTTCTACCTTGACTTCCTTAAGACCACTCAATGTTGGCCCCATGCTTTCATTTTTTTCTTTTTTCTTTTTTTTTTGAGATGAAGTTTCCCTCTTTTCACCCAGGCTGGAGTGCAACAGTGTGATCTCAGCTCACTGCAACCTCCGCCTCCCAGTTTCAAGAGACTCTCCTGCCTCAGCCTCCCGAGTAGCTGCGATTACAAGCATGTGCCACCATGCCCAGCTAATTTTGTATTTTTACTAGAGATGGGGTTTCTTCATGTTGGTCAGGCTGGTCTCAAACTCCCAACCTCAGGTGATCCGCCCGCCTCGGCCTCCCAAAGTGCTGGGATTATAGGCATGAGCCACAATGCCCAGCCCATGCTTTCTTTTTAATAACTCCTTGCTGCCTAGTTTTTTCATGTCCACTGTGTAACTACTAGTCTTAATGGGTATTTCTTTTCTTACTATTCTGCACCAATGTTTCCCTGATTGACAATAGTTTTCCTGAAATGTATTCTTGGAATGGAATTGTATGATACGCTTAGAAAATTCTGCATACCTTATACTTCAGAATGTGTATGTAAAAGACTCCAGTAAATGATCCAGGGAAGCAAAAATATTTGTGTGTTTTGCGAGTTGTATTCATATGTGTATAAAATTCCCACAGCACTTTGGGTAACAATGCTCTGCACACTTTTCCTGTGCTCCTTTTATCCATTCCCACACTTCCAGCATTTCCTTTGATGTTTGATTTTCTTTATTTTTTTTTACTCCAATATTTTCCTGTAGGTTTCAAACCTATATTTTAAAATATCAACTGATTCTCTCCCTCTGTCTTCACCACCTGCATCTCAAATTTGACATAGCCATAAACACATTTTATATTTTGGCAAATAAATCTATTTCTTTTAAAGCATTGCCCATCTCAGCTAATGATGATAATATCAAGCCAGTCGCCAAGAAAATTTAGAGTATTTATACCTTGACTCTTCCTTCTAAATGAATTATTAAGTTCAGCTGTTTCTACCTTGAATTACCTTTCTATTCTGCCATTTCTCTTCTGTGTTGCTGCTAATGTTTTAATTTAGTTATTCATCACATCATGCCTGTACTGCTGGAATAATCTTGACTATTCTTTCTGACTTTTTCTTCTAACTGCATCTCAAAAACTTCTATCTAGAATGAAAATAAGTATATATATATACTATATATACATATATGCATATACACTATATGTATGTATATAGTATAAGTATAGACATGCTATATACTATATATACTATATATTTATATACACACACACCCACTATGCTTTTAAAAATTGTTTACTTATGTCCCATCATTGAAGGGTAAAATACAAAATCACTGATATTGAGAGACATTCTCCTCAATCATTTAACATTTTCCTTCACAAACCTGTGCTGTAGCCACACCCAGAACAGGTTATGTTCCTTCAAAGACACACACACTTTTCTATCACTCTCCTTTTACTCCTTCTATTCCATCTGCTTAGACCATTTTTTACTTGTTTTCTGTCTATCTTCATTCACTTTTTAGGATCCAATTAAAATATTGATACAAAGGCCGAGATCTTTATATCTTCTCTTATTTAAATTCCTGGAGCACCAGATAACTTCCCAGATAACTTCCTCTATTATAATTCTTACTGTATACAACCATAACTCTCATTTGAAAGCAATGTACATAATTATAAAATCAGATGTATCATAAAATGATTGGTATCAATATGTGAAAAAAAATCTTTAATGTTGAAAGTACAAGATTACAAGCCATCTGAAAGTAACTGAACATCAATCAGAGAAAAATGCTCATCATTTTTTGATGAAACCAAAAGTAAGAGAATTTGGTATTAATCTACTATATCATTGGTAAATTACATATTAATTATTGTGAGAAAGAAATAATTGACGGAATTTAAAGAAAATCGGTTTTCCTTTATTTTTATTATTCTACCTAAAAGTATTATATCTAATTAAAATCATGATTTTAAAATTATCCCATCAAGTATGTCATCACACTAAAATCCATTGTATTTAATTTCTCAACTGAGAAATTGTATTCAATTGTATTCATTTTCCCTACTGAAAAATTAATATAAAAGCAATCACATAGCATTCAGAAATTAATAAATATTTAAAGAAATTAAACAGCATTAGATTTTCTTGTTGTAAAATTTTTTTCTTCTCTCAGTATGGCTTATGTCTCTGCTTCTATTGAACATAGCACAATTCAAGTATTAATACAGCACCTTTATAAAAGTTGTGAATCTCAGAAATGAACAAGCTTACCTCCCTAGTTATTTATTAAAAGTTACAAGTCACTTTTTTTTAACTTCCTAATAATCTTAGAGGGGTATATTTTGTGTTTTTGTTTGCTATATCTTTCATAAAGAAGATCCCTAATGATTTGAAAGTTAGAACCAATTTTCTGAAGGATTGAGCCACGCTCCTTGAAGTTGTGTGTTTGTGGGTGGCACACTATGTCTTTTGCAGACCCGGAACCTACCCCTTGGTCTAGAACATATTTTCCTCCACCTGCCTTTTAAGTTTTTATTTCAGCAGGGGTGGGTGGTTTGTGGTTGACCGAAAATAGAACGGGCTACAAAAGCCCTTCCTGTTTGATATTGAATCTGCTATTTGAGTCACCCTTACATTATGAACTGACTGTTAATTAACACATTTGGTAAGAGAATATCCTGATCTGCTTTGCATGTGAGGCTCTCCCAGTAATAAGCAAAGAAGCATAATCAAACAAGATTTTAATTTCTCTATGCCCTGTTAGAAATTCAGATATAATTCAAGTCATCTTGGAAATTTTAAGTTGCATTCTGATGTCGTCTCTGTTCTGGCCATTGTGCAATGGGCCTTCAAATGTTGTAGTAGAGGCCAACTGACATTCCATTGTTATTCATTTATACACAGGTACATATATGGTGTGTGTACGCAAATATATAAATATTCATATATGTGTACATGTGTACATACATACATATGGAGGTAATACAAGTTTGCATTGTTTTTAAAATTTTTTTACCCAAATTAACAATGACTCTATTGCATATCTTTATTGGTTATATCACATTTATATAAATAAATTTATATCAGTGACAATTTCCAAGTAAGTGAAATTTGAATTGGATTCAGGGTTTTATTTTTTTGAAATTTCTGATTAAAATTACTTGATTTTTTAAATTTTATCTTAAAATATTCAAGTCCCATTTGTAAAAAAAAAAAATAGAGGATTAAAATGAAGTGTGTCTTTATGAGTCACAAATTTTTATTTTACTTTACTAATTGTTAAAATAATATTTTTTCCATGAGGCATTTTATAATGCCCTCTTTATTTTTTTGGTGATGTATTTTTTTATTATTATTATTATACTTTAAGTTTTAGGGTACATGTGCACAATGTGCAGGTTAGTTACATATGTATACATGTGCCATGCTGGTGCACTGCACCCACTAACTCGTCATCTAGCATTAGGAATATCTCCCAATGCTATCCCTCCCCCCTCCCCCACCCCACAACAGTCCACAGAATGTGATGTTCCCCTTCCTGTGTCCATGTGTTCTCATTGTTCAATTCCCACCTATGAGTGAGAATATGCGGTGTTTGGTTTTTTGTTCTTGCGATAGTTTGCTGAGAATGATGATTTCCAATTTCATCCATGTCCCTACAAAGGACATGAACTCATCATTTTTTATGGCTGCATAGTATTCCATGGTGTATATGTGCCACATTTTCTTAATCCAGTCTATCATTGTTGGACATTTGGGTTGGTTCCAAGTCTTTGCTATTGTGAATAATGCCACAATAAACATACGTATGCATGTGTCTTTATAGCAGCATGATTTATAGTCCTTTGGGCATATAGCCAGTAATGGGATGGCTGGGTCAAATGGTATTTCTAGTTCTAGATCCCTGAGGAATTGCCACACTGACTTCCACAGTGGTTGAACTAGTTTACAGTCCCACCAACAGTGTAAAAGTGTTCCTATTTCTCCACATCCTCTCCAGTACCTGTTGTTTCCTGACTTTTTAATGATTGCCATTCTAACTGGTGTGAGATGGTATCTCATTGTGGTTTTGATTTGCATTTATCTGATGGCCAGTGATGGTGAGCATTTTTTCATGTGTTTTTTGGCTGCATAAATGTCTTCTTTTGAGAAGTGTCTGTTCATGTCCTTTGCCCACTTTTTGATGGGGTTGTTTGTTTTTTTCTTGTCAATTTGTTTGAGTTCATTGTAGATTCTAGATATTTGTCCTTTGTCAGAAGAGTAGGTTGTGAAAATTTTCTCCCATTTTGTAGGTTGCCTGTTCACTCTGATGGTAGTTTCTTTTGCTGTGCAGAAGCTCTTTAGTTTAATGAGATCCCATTTGTCAATTTTGTCTTTTGTTGCCATTGCTTTTGGTGTTTTAGACATGAAGTCCTTGCCCATGCCTATGTCCTGAATGGTAATGCCTAGGTTTTCTTCTAGGGTTTTTATGGTTTTAGGTTGAACTTTTAAGTCTTTAATCCATCTTGAATTGATTTTTGTATAAGGTGTAAGGAAGGGATCCAGTTTCAGCTTTCTACATATGGCTAGCCAGTTTTCCCAGAACCATTTATTAAATAGGGAATCCTTTCCCCATTGCTTGTTTTTCTCAGGTTTGTCAAAGATCAGATAGTTGTAGATATGTGGCGTTATTTCTGAGGGCTCTGTTCTGTTCCATTGATCTATATATCTGTTTTGGTACCAGTACCATGCTGTTTTGGTTACTGTAGCCTTGTAGTATAGTTTGAAGTCAGGTAGTGTGATGCCTCCAGCGTTGTTGTTTTGGCTTAGGATTGACTTGGTGATGTGGGCTCTTTTTTGGTTCCATATGAACTTTAAAGTAGTTTTTTCCAATTCTGTGAAGAAAGTCATTGGTAACTTGATGGGTATGGCATTGAATGTGTAAATTACCTTGGGCAGTATGGCCTTTTTCATGAGATTGATTCTTCCTACCAATGAGCATGGAATGTTCTTCCATTTGTTTGTATCCTCTTTTATTTCCTTGAGCAGTGGTTTGCAGTTCTGCTTGAAGAGGTCCTTCACATCCCTTGTAAGTTGGATTCCTAGGTATTTTATTCTCTTTGAAGCAATTGTGAATGGGAATTCACTCATGATTTGGCTCTCTGTTTGTTTGTTGTTGGTGTATAAGAATGCTTGTGATTTTTGTACATTGATTTTGTATCCTGAGACTTTGCTGAAGTTGCTCATCAGCTTAAGGAGATTTTGGGCTGAGACAATGGGATTTTCTAGATATACAATCATGTCTTCTGCAAACAGGGACAATTTGACTTCCTCTTTTCCTAATTGAATACCCTTTATTTCCTTCTCCTGCCTGATTGCCCTGGCCAGAACTTCCATTACTGTGTTGAATAAGAGTGGTAAGAGAGGACATCCCTGTCTTGTGCCAGTTTTCAAAGGGAATGCTTCCAGTTTTTGCCCATTCAGTATGATATTGGCTGTGGGTTTGTCATAGATAGCTCTTATTATTTTGAAATATGTCCCATCAATACCTAACTTATTGAGAGTTTTTAGCATGAAGGGTTGTTGAATTTTGTCAAAGGCCTTTTCTGCATCCATTGAGATAATCATGTGGTTTTTGTCTTTGGTTCTGTTTATATGCTGGATTACATTTATTGATTTGCATATATTGAACCAGCCTTGCATCCCAGGGATGAAGCCCACTTGATCATGGTGGATAAGCTTTTTGATGTGCTGCTGGATTCGTTTTGCCAGTATTTTATTGAGGATTTTTGCATCAATGTTCATCAATGAAAATCAATATATATCATAACAGCTCTGTAAATGTTTCTCTGAGTTCTGTGAGCCATCCTAGGAACTTAATTGAACCCAGGGGGGGGGCTCATGGGAACCCCTTTTTTTTTTTTTTTTTTTTTGAGATGGGGTCTCATTCTGTCTCCCAGGCTGGAGTGCAGTTGCAGGATCTCAACTCACTGCAACCTCTGCCTCCCGGGTTCAAGCGATTCTCCTGCCTTAGCCTCCCTGGTAGCTGGGCTTATAGGAGCCCGCCACCACACCCAGCTAATTTTTGTATTTTATTTCATTTATTTATTTTTTTGAGATGGAGCATCGCTCTCTCACCCAGGCTGGAGTGCAGTGACATGATCTCTGCTCACTGCAAGCTCCACCTCATGGGTTCAGGCCGTTCTCCTGCCTCAGCCTTCCAAGTAGCTGGGACTACAGGCGTCCGCCACCATGCCTGGCTAATTTTTATTTGTATTTTTAGTAGAGATGGGGTTTCACCGTGTTAGCCAGGATGGTCTTGATCTGACCTCGTGATCCGCCTGCCCCGGCCTCCCAAAGTGCTGGGATTACTGGTGTGAGCCACCGTGCCCAGTTTAATTTTTGTATTTTTAATAGAGACGGGGTTTCACCATGTTGGCCAGGCTGGTCTCAAACCCCTGATCTCAAGTGATCCACCCGCCTTGGTCTCCCAAAGTGCTGGGATTACAGGCGTGAACCACCATGACCGGGCGTGGATGTAGTTTTTAGCCAGGCAGTCAGAAGTATGCGTTGCCTGGACTTGGAATTAGTGCCTGAAGTGGGGCTGGTCTCATGGGATCGAGCCGTCAATCTGTGGGATTGGACACTATCTGCAGGTAGACAGTGTCAGGATTGAATTGAATAAGAGGACACCCAGTTGGTCTCTGTGAGAAATGTTTGGTGTGTAAGGAAAAGCCCCCACACAGCCAGCCACAGAAGTGTGCTATTGTTGAGTGTGAGAGTACAAGGGAAAAACAGTTTGCTTTTTTGCTTTACAGTGGGATATTTGATCCATAGGTCTATATCTAAGCACATGAATAGAATGTGTTTGGGCCTGGTTTTTTAGTCTTGCTGGTCAGTAACTAGTTTGACAAGAGAGACTAGCACACTGATCCCAAAAGAACTAGGCCAAGAGCAGATAGGATTTGTGGAAACTTGAACCTCTTATTAGCTCCTTAAAAGACGTACTTTTCTAGACTTCTTTGGAGCCTGGGATTCTAGTACTGGTGAGTTTCCACCGGCAGCAGACTCCCTGAAGATTTGCTAGCCCTCTGCAGGGTTGGCAGGCCACTACCACATTTAGTTGGCTCCTAGGGTATGTTCCACACCAGACTTCCCATTGTGGGAAGGCCAAGAGAACTGAAGAGACAGTCTCTACTCTGGAGGTGGGGAAGTGGGGGAGGTGGTAATTTAATTAACAGTAGGTGGTGGGTGAGGCGACTTGGTAAGGTAAGAGGACACACAAAGGAAGTAACTGCAGTAAACCTTAGCTGGCAGCACAAGTGAGGAGGTGTGCTTGAAAGAGAAATGGAGTGTCTGGAAGTGGGTGAGTATATTCTGGTAGGTGTGACAAAGGCACTGTTCCTCCAACACCAGTCCTGGGAAAGGCATATGATATGGTTTGGTGCTGTGTCCCCAGCCAAATCTCATGATGAATTATGAGCTTCAGTGTTGGAGGAGGGGCCTGGTGGGAGGTGACTGGATCATGGGGGTGAATTTCCCCCTTGTTGTTCTCGTGCTAGTGAGTTCTGAGATCTGGTTGTTTAAAAGTGTGTGGCACTGCCCCTTCACTCTCTCTCCTGCCGCCATGTGACTATGTACTTGCTTCCCCTTTGCCTTCCCCATGATTGTAAGTTTCCTGAGGCCTCCCCAGCCATGCCTCTTGTATAGCCTGCAAAACTGAGTCAATTAAACCTTGTTTCTTTATAAACTATCCACTCTCAAGTAGTTCTTTACAGGAGTGTGAGAACAGACTAATACAACATGGGATCCCAAGTAACTATGCATTCAGAGAAGAAACACAGGTATGTTTGGGAACTGGATGATGGAAGGTACAGGGAAGCACTGTAGGTAACTTTCATGGGTCCTACACTCTACAACATATTCTTGGGGTTGGAATGAGTCAAACAGGAGACTGATGTCCAGGATGGAATTGGCTGTTTATGTTCCCATGTGTAGGTCTCTTCCTTAACAGATCACGGTAGCTTCATTACAAATGGCCTGGGAAGCGTACATAATGCAGAAACCCCAGCAAATTCTTACAGGGGTTAGTCATGCAGTTATACATTTTCATTCTGGGATTTCTAGGGGCTTAATAAAATTCCTTCATTGGATCATTTAATCCAACATAAATTATTTCCCTACACCTACTTTATACTTGCTCCCTGATTTCATACCAGTGAGTATAGCCTGATGTAACTAAACATTCTGAATTTTCAGTGATCAGTGATACCCAGAGAAGAGTGTGATAACCAATTCTCTCAAAAGCGATTTACTGCAAATATTTTCATTTACAGTAAGTCCTTACTTAACATTGTGGATATGTTCTTGGAAACAGTGACTTTAAGCCAAACGAGGTACTGTGTGGCTTCATAACTCAACTCTTTTTCCTATCAATTAGACTATGGGAAAACTGGTTTCGTATGCATTATGTCCTTTTGCTTAAAGTGGTAGTTTCCAAGAACCTATCAATGACATTAAGTGAGGACTTATTGTAATCTGATATCTGCGGGTGGATAATTTAAGGAACACATACATAGTTAAGCCTGTAAACTGCTGCAAGTTCCAGATATTATCAGTTCTATTTCTCCACAATTACAATTCCAGTTTTGGGGTTTCTTTTTGCTCATTAAATTTGAAAAGCCAATTCCAGTTTTAAAGCTTGACCCTTTTCTTATAACTTTTTTTATAACTGATAATATATCAGTTATATCAGTTATATTTCTTAGGCTTCCCACGAAACCCTCAAACTGACTCTGAGGGTGGCCTTGCTATCTAATTTACAAAACCGGTTATCTTGGTTTGTGTTCATTTTATTTCCCTTGCATACATTGCTTAGCTGCTTCTGATTATATGCCTCTTAGCCACGGCTGGATAGAAAAGTGTAATAAGAGAAAAGTGTAACTAAGAGACACAGAAGAAAGAGAAATTCCATGAGCACCAGATACTTTTATGGGTGCCTTTTGGAAGCTCTAAATTGAGATGTATCTTTGTTGTCAATTTATGCTATGAATCCAAACGAAAAATGGGGGGAGAAAAACAAATAGGCTGTAGATGAAAGTGGAAGAAGAAAAATGAGTCTATATATATATATATATTAGCAGTTGTATGAAAGTATATGAGTCAATATTCCATCAATACCTAGAAAAATAGTAGATCAATATGCTGATTTTAGGGGTGGACACAAAAGTGTTATAAGTGTCTTTTAACTTTTCTTTTTTCCCTCCTTGACTCTGAAGAGAAACACCATTTTTTCTACGTATGCAAAGAGTAAAAATTCAGAACTAACATGCAGGGATTAATAGCAGTGAATTGCAAACTCAACTCAGTGGTATAGTACCTGGCAACATTATTACTCAGCATATTTCCCTGGCTGAGGCTGACTTCATTTAAAGTAGTTTTATACTTGTGCTAAAAATAAGTGTACATCCCATTAAGGGAGAAAAGATCTTCTACACAATGGATTGGACCTACATAACCTTATGTACCAGAGAGGAAAACATCATTCTCATGAGTCGCAAAGCTTTCTTCTTCTTGTCAATATGATAAACAGTTTCCGGAAGTTGAGAATGACGCTGGTTACTTTCCTTCCTCCTGAACATGCCACACTGAAGAGACAGGGATGACTCCTTCCCTATGGGACAGACACACATGTAGCTTTCCCTGGGTTGTGGAGGAAGGCATGGCCACAACACCATTGGCAGTCTGCTGCAGGGACCTCACGATGAGAGGAAGCAATGGATGCCTGGGCCAGGGAAATGCATATTTGGGAGAAAGCAGGAAATTCTGATGTAGAGATAGGGAAGAACCCTGGGGAAAAGGACCCAAGCTGGGCGGGGAGGAGGAAACCACCAGGATCCCAGGATCAGAGACAAAGGACCCAGGGACACAAACAAAGTGAGGCCAGATGGAGAGGGCAGGCTCACGGGGAGAGCAAGCTCACAGGGAGAGCATGAGCCAAACCTGGCTTATTTCACACTCATCAGAGAGACTGCACAGATGGGGCCAAACCAGGGCCCAGGAGCATCGGAGAGAGGAGGGCCATTTCAAAGACTTTTGTAAAATAAGCTCAAAGTTTCTTTGTTTATTTGTGGGTGTGGGAGTGGAAACGTAGGGAAAGTGAAGAAAGTGGGGGAAAAGGGATGGGTGATTTTGTAGGCAAGATGCTCCCTGAGGAGGTCCTGGTGGACCTGCTGTGGGGAGTGGCATTCTGCACACTCTCATATCATGGGGAGCGCATGACTACATTACTGCTTACACATCTCCAAGTGCAGCTTGGGGGGTGAATGTTTAATTGTCTCACTGTAACTGTCTAAATCTCTGGAAAATGTGAAGGGTCATGCATTTGATTTAAACCTATGAGGTCTGAATGAATTCTCCTCCATGCCTAACCGAGTGAAGCAAGTATATAACCAACCATGCATCCCTAAGCAGGGCCGGTATGAAAGGGAGGAAACGCCTCCCCACTGAGCTCGCAAAGAACTTCATCACTGACCTGAATCAGATCCAGCAGGAAATGAAACAATGAGTACATACTTTTACAGTAGAGGGAGGGGGACGGAAAACAAAGTGAGCTGAACTGAAACGTGAGAAAGAACAGAATGGCAGTGAGTCCACGGGGCAGGGCCGCAGCTTTCTTTTTTCATGGCCCTCAGTCCAGTAACCCCACCCGGCATTCGTAGCGGGTGACATCATTGATGCCCAAACATGCTCCAGCAATTTCCTGCTTTCCAGAGTCCAGCCGAGCCATGATGTCAGTGGTGCACCTGGGTAAAGATATGGCAGGGCCGGGTCACAGGGAGTGGGGACAAAGGCCAACCCAGTTAAATAAACTGCTGGTCTTCTAGGGCCTGGTCCCTAGGCAGGCTTCCACCATGAGATAGGTATAGCCCAGGCCAATCCCAACAAGAGGAAAAAAAGCATGTACTTGGCCGGGGGCGGTGGCTCACACCTGTAATCCCAGCACGTTGGGAGGTTGAGGCGGGTGAATCACGAGGTCAGGAGTTTGAGACCAGCCTGAACAATGTGGTGAAACCCTGTCTCTACTAAAATTGGAAAAAATTAGCTGGGCGTAGTGGTGGCCACCTGTAATCCCAGCTACTCGGGAAGCTGAGGCAGGAGAATCGCTTGAACCTGGGAGATGGAGGTTGCAGTGAGCCGAGATCACACCACTGCACTCCAGCCCAGGCAACAGAGTAAGACTCTGTCTCAAAAACCAAAAAAAGAATGCACCCATGCAGTGCCTCCTGTCACCCTCTGCCCAGAAAGGGCACAGGGGCCAGGGTGAAAGAGTTACAGGAAGACAGAGGGAAGGAAACCATGCAGACATAACCACATGGGGGCAGGCCCTAAGCTGCTGGGACCTCCACAGTGTATCCCTTTCCTCCAACTGGGAGACGGAAGCACCGATGGTCTTTCTCTACAGTGCCAGGAGCCACCCTGCCCCCAGAGATGCCCTACAATCAATGACTACCATCTAAATGCTTCTGGATAGTTTCATTCCTTGTAGGTGATATTCCAAATATTATAATTTGTACTTCTCCACAATTACAATTCCAGTTTTGGGGTTTCTTTTTACTCATTAAATTTGAAAAGCCAATTCCAGTTTTAAAGCTTGACCCTTTTCTTAAAAGTTTAACTTCTCTTTTTATTCAGGCTTCCCACTAAACCCTCAAACTGACTCTGAGGGTGGCCTGACTAATTTACAAAACCGGCCAGGCTGCCTAACCCCTAGATTCCAGCCCAGAGTGTTGCCATAAATTGCTGTCAAGACATGCCTCTATGTCCCATGTTTGCCAGTGAGAAAAGGGTTCATATTCTAAGTTCTTCAATTCTCTCTCACTGCCTCAATGTGAAGTCAATGGAAAACAGTCAAATACACCAAAAATTAACTTCAAATGGATATCTGCTATGAATTCCAACTTGGTTGGACACCTCTCCAGGCCAACTGTTGTGAAAATGCATTGTTGTTTTAAAAAACACTGTGAGAGATGGCTGGGCGTGGTGGCTTACTTGAGGTCAGGAGTTTGAGAACAGCCCGGCCAATATGGTGAGACCCCAGTCTCTATGAAAAATATAAAAATTGAGCCAGATGTGGTGGCATGCACTTGTAGTCCACGCTACTTGGGAGGCTGAGGTAGGAGTATCACTTGAACCTGGAAGGCGGAGGTTGCAGTGAGCCGAGATCATGCTACTGCACTCCAGCCTGGGTGACAGAGCAATACTCTGTCTCAAAAAAAAAAAAAAAAAAAAAAAAAAAAGAGAGCGAGAGAAAACACTGTGAGAAGAAAGAAGTCAATCACCCCCTCTCCAATGCCCAACACAGTAAGCAAGAAGGGCCCAGGAAAAAATTAACAGGGAAAAACAATCTTGCATTTGCTTAGTGGAATCTGGGGTTTGCACACATTAGTCAGAGCTAGACAAATCATACTGAATACACTTCTTATAGAAACATTCTAGCTCTTATGGCCTTTCCTTGCTGTCCCAACTTTTGAGGTGCGAAAACACAGCAACACAGCCAGGACCGGCCAGGTGATGGCACGGAGCCCGCTCCCACAGGCTGCGTGTGTGTTCTCACTCTCTTGCAACTGGCCTGAGTTAAGCCTTCTCCCCAAGCACTTGCAGTTTATCATCGCCCTATTTACTGTATTTTCATGTTATAAAAGTGATATACACCCAACGTAGTAATTTGATCTATACAAAAAAGAGAAGAAAAAAAGCTACTCATAATATCACTGTCTAATTTAAGGTTTTGGTGTAGTCTTTCTAGTCTTTTTCTATATGGAATGTAATTTACTTCTCAAAAATATCATTTCATATACTTTGCTTACATATTAGCATTTTTGTCATGAAATTTATGCCAACTGATTAAACAGCCCTTGTAAATTACAGAAACTTAAAGACAATATCAAAACAATGTGACCACAAGACAAAGACCACCTACTACTAAATTATTTTTGGCATGAGATTATTTTTTGAGAAGTTTTATAAACTATTAGGTTTATTGAACACTATAAACTGTAATCCTTGAAAGAATTTTGGAAGCATACGATAACAGGGTAATTTGTAGTAGAATATAGGGTTGGAAAACCTTAAAAAACACTTGCTCATTTCTTCCTATATCAAAGATTTGTATTAGAAAATCTATTTCTTACAAAAAGATGTACTAAGTGGTATTATGTCAGTCAAGCATCTTGTATTATTTTCTAGCTTTCAATAATATGTATAATGTCATAAAAAAGAGGGAAGAATACACAAAATACATATGAAGCTTACTAGGAATGAAGAAAGTTATTTTAGGAAGGAAAAATTGGTTACCATCAAGGAATATGGAAAACACTAGCAATGCATGTAAGAATGACCTCAAAGGTCTTAGACGTCCACGAGCTGGGAATGCTTGTGCTGGGTGCTTCAGTTACAACAGCATGGGGAAGTTAAATAGACTAGTGAAGCTGTTACATCAGTTAATAGTATTTATTATTATTTGTGGTCACCAATGCCAATTAAGACAATAATTAAATAGAACATGATGAAATAATTCAATGGTAGGAAAAAAAATCTGGCCTACAAGTGAACATGGAAAGTAAAAGTAAATATTTAGAAAGTGAAATCAGGAGCGGAAAAAAGCTCCAGCATCTCACCATGGGGTCTTCCAAAGCCAGCAGTACTGGAGATGTTTATTGTTCAAAGATGGACTTGCTTGGGTTGGGATTCTCCAACTAGAGCCAGAGGGGAGATTCTCTGCTTCCCTTGAGGACACAACAAGAGAGGCTTTCTTATAAAGCCTGCCACATTCTGTGCCTGTATTGTTTTATTTACTGGAGTCTATCATAAGGCCTGTGAGGAAAGGACTGAATCTCTTTCTCATAGCCGTTGGGCTGATGGCCCTGCGTGCTGTAGGCATTTAATAATTCACTGAGTAAATGAATGAACCCTGCAGGAGATTGGGAGCCTTTCTGATCTTGAGGTCTCAGTTTGGACTATCTTTCTGGAGTGGATAGACGAATATGTTTTTCAGCAGCACTCTAATAAGCGCACATTGGGTGACTAAGCAGAAGAGTGATTCGTTTTGCTAGAATTTTCCAACCTGCAGGAGCCAGTCCCCCTGGTGTCCCCATTCCCTGTCCCCTCAGTCATCTCAGCAGGAAATTACTATCCTTTCTCCCACATGGGTGATGAATGTTCAAGGCATTTCAGCACACTGTGGTAAGGCCCAGAATGGGTTCAAGTAAAAGTAAATACCAGTCCTTATTAGGAGATCCTGGCCCCTCTGCTGCATGTGTCCCAGTACACATGCAGCTTCCTGCTCTGTCATAGAAAGCAGCCCTCTAGGGCCACTGCCTCCAGTGAGAGTTTCCTGACCTCCAGGAACTTCTGTAGTCAGGCACCACTCCCTTCCCTCACACCCAACACCCTATTGTTCCAGATTTTATCACTGTGCACTGATGCTCACTGCGACCCCACATGTGGCCACAGGAGGAACTCGGCTGAGGGCTGAGAAGACCAGATAATGACACAGAGGGCTCACTTCAGGAAACCCAGAGAGCTGCAGCGGCTCCTCCAGGGCCATTCCACGCATTCATTTTCTAACAAGTCATAAGTCAAAGAGTGACATCAGGAGCGGACAGCCTGGTGTCCAGGCATGAGCCATGGCAACAGATTCTGATTTCCCAGAACGGCTTTGGTCTTTACCTGGTGTTGGATATGGTAGTGTTAGCTGGAGTGGGAGGAGATTCACATTGTATATTTGTTTAGTGACTCCAAAGATTTTAAATTATATTGTGTTTTTTATTATTTTATTCCATTTTTTTAGAGACAGAGGTCTCACTCTATCTCCCAGGCTGGAGTGCAATGATATGATCATAGGTCAGTGTAGCCTCAAACTCCTGGGCTCAAGGAATCCTCCCATTTCAGCCTCCTGAGTAGCTGGGACTCCAGGTGTGTACCATGACTCCTGGCTAATTTTGGTTTAAGTAGAGATACAGTCTGGCTATGTTGCCCAGGCTGGTCTTGAACTCCTGGCCTGAAGCAATCCTTCTACCTTGGCTTCCAAAAGTGCTTGGATTGTAAGTGTGAACCACTGTGTGGGCCCTGGTTTTTGTTTAATGGCTATTAAATGCTCAGAAGTGAATTAAGGTTGCAGTTAAATGCACAATTTTTATATCAAACTATTTTCTTTGCTAATTCACTTCTATCTGCGTCTACCAGCTGTAAACTACCTGAAGCAGAGAAAGTTTCTTTAGGTTGGGGCTTCCTGTAGCCCCGAGCTGAGTGCCTTATGCAGCATTGGCCGAGTGCATGAATTTGTTGGGTGAACTGCTGCGGGGTTTAGAGTCCGCAGAGGGTAGGACAGGACAGATCGTGATCGAGGCTAACCTTCTCATCTACTCTACCATTTCATGCTCTGTTTGGGCACCTCCATCACCCCTCACTTCCCCTGATGGTCCAGTCTCTCTGGGCCTGCACTGTCCAGCCACCCTCTTATCCCTAAGCCAAGGCCTTTGCCAACTAAAGCTCAGGAGTAAAGTGGCCATCACTGAGGCCATTCTATGTATGTATGTATGTATGTATTTAGAGATGGAGTCTTGCTCTGTCACCCGGGCTGAAGCACAATGGTGCAGTCTTGGCTTACTGCAACCTCTGCCTCCCAGGTTCAAGCAATTCTCCTGCCTCAGCCTCCCAAGTAGCTGGGATTATAGGTGCCCGCCACCATGCCCAGCAAATTTTTGTATTTTTAGTAGAGATGGGGTTTCACCCTTTTGGCCAGGCAGGTCTCAAACTCCTGACCTTGTGATCCCCCCACCTTGGCCTCCCAAAGTGCTGGGATTACAGGCATGAGCCACTGCACCCGGCTGACTGAGGCCATTCTAAGGAATATACAGCAAGCTCTTCACTACCCATTTTTGTTAACTGAGGTATAACTAAATGATACACAGGCCCAGCACAGTGGCACGAACCTATAGTCACAGCAACTTGGGAAGCTGAGGTGGGAGGATTGCTTGAGATCAGGAGTTTGAGTCCAGCCTGGGCAACACACGTGTATAGGTCTATGAGTCTGGAAGAATGTATATAGCCATGGAATCACTACCATGTCAAAACATAGGGTATTTCCATTATCCCAACAAGTTCCCTCCTGCCCCTCTGCAGTCAAACACTTCCCTCCCCCAGCTCCTGGCAACTGCTGATCTGAACTGTAGACCTGAAAATGTCATTCAGAACCCATTTCATCTGGACCCTTCTCTCTGTGTCAACATTGCTGTGAGCGGTGTCTGTGGGATTTTTCTGGACGTTCTCTGCCATGCCCCTGCTCCTTCCTTCCTGCCTTCTGGAAGGCACCCCTGCCAGGAGTCGGCTGCATTAAAGTGGGTGTTTCAGGGGTGTCTTCCTTTACTCTCTTCTCACTGATTTCCAGCTATCCCTGTGTCTCTTGTTTAATGAGTGCCTTCACCCATATCCTTAAACCCACCAGGGCGACCTTCCTGCCCCTTTCTTTGGAGAGCTGTATCTGTATTTCCAGTGGAGACACAGACTGTTCCTTAGATCCTATTAACCCTCTGAGCTCTCTCTCTTCAAGCCAGGCTCATTTCTGGCTTGGCCAATCTGCCTCCTCCCATGTCCTTTCCATGACACGGTGATGGCATCACCAGCCAGTCACCAAGCTAGAACAGTCCCTTCACCCGGCCCCTACTGTAGGAGGATACTTTTAGAGTATGTCTGCAATTCACCCCCCACTCTCTGTATCTACTTCTGTGGCCAAAGTGCGGACCTTGATTTCCTCTGGCCCCAGCTGAATTAACCCACCTCTCTGGACCTGGTTCTCTTTTCACTAAACATTCTCCACATTGCTGCCAGAGCTATTTTTCTAAAATACACATCAGACCACATTCTTCTCCTCCTTCTTTAAAAACAAAAAATCAAAAAAATAAAAAACCAAGAAACAAACAAAAAACCCACCCTACCGTGGCTCCTCAGTGTGTAGAGATCAGATTCAAGTTCCGTGAGATGGTCTTCAAGATCCTTGGCCATGTGACCCCGTCCTGCTATCCCAATCCCATTCCCATTCCCATCCCCAGCCTCCCCACCTCATCCAACTCCAGCCACATTGGATCACCCCAGGAGAGGATGTCATGTATTAGTACTCTGGTGCCTTTGAGTCAAAACTCACTGTTTTGCCAGTTCAGAGGTTGAGCCCTTTTTGAAGAATCCCCTCTTCTTCCACAGCCCAGGTAAGTTCTACCCCAGGCATAATGAGCTGTTATCCCCCTGGGATCTGAGGGTATTCAGAATACCAACACAATGCTCTCCAGATACCTCTATGCTATTCAAATCCATGCATCTCACACCTGCTCATCTTAAAATCTCTGTGCCTCACATGCAGGAAGAATTCAAATGATGCTGATTGAAAAAACATTGTGTCCAATATTAGATGAAGCATGTAAATATCAAGGCAAGAATCTGCACTTTTTGTCTGTCTATTGCTTGTTTGCACAATAGAGCCACATGGTTTATTATAAAAAATTATTATAATGTATGCTGTTTAAGCTCAGATCACTTTGCACTAATGATGATGATAATGATGGGTTAGAATTTTTTTTCTTTTCTTGCCATGGGATCTGCCAGGTTTTAAGAATTCTTTTTTATTCTAAACCAAATTCAGGAGCACTCCCAAAGACAAGAAATCAAATTTAGGCCACTGATGGTACCAACGGAAGGCTATCACTGTGTAGCTATACCAAATGAAGCCAATCTTCATGGATTTTAAGCACTTTGATAAGCTTTTATATCTCTGCTCATCTCCTTTACCTCCATAGATAACACAAAATAACAGAATAATCAACCAATAGCAACGTAATCCCATCACAACAACATCAAAAATGAGAATTCATATGATTCAGTAATTTCCTAAGCCAGAACTTCCCACCTGATGTGCTGGGGAAGTGAGAGGGTGAGGACTGCTTTCCCCAGCCCTTAGGGTGACTGGGCAGATCCTGTCTGGTGTGAGCATTCAACCCTACTGATTACATCATTTTGGGTGCTATGTGTGACAAAGGTTGACAACCACTGTCCTAAGCCATTCTACCATTTAAATAGACTGAATTCTCCCAAGTTATGTTCTTACTTGCCTTAGGAAGGAAATTAGTATTATGACTCTAAGGATCCTGAACACATGATCTAAAAAAAGAAAAACCCAAAGCACAATGGCAAAGGTAGGTGAGACAGAGTGTTTAGAAAAATAGCGAATACTGTACTATTAATTACTCCCAATTCTCCCTAATCCATGATTTTTAAAGAGCGGGTGGAGCATAACGATTTGAGGCACTGCGACAATGCAGAATGGGGAGGGATTTTGGAAAATGTGACTCACTCACCGTTCCGACCAAAGGGTAAATGAACCCAGCACCTATGCTGGCCCGGACATCACTGATAGGTAAGATGAAGTCCCTTGGCACACCTTTTTTGTCAGGTTGGTGAGACAGAGAAAGATCGGTCTTTGCCATGCAGATGGGCAAATTTCCAAAACCCTGTAAGAAAGGAAAGAAAATGTGTTCACTGATATAGACGTGAGTCTCCTGTGTTTTTCAATTTGCACTTTATACAGTCTCGGCAGCAATGGTATGCCAGCTCAGATCCAGGCACACGCAGGAGCTGCTTGTTACTACTTGTTCACTGAAGAAGCAAGAAGGTGAGGATAAAAACTCATCTCCATGTGAAGGATAAAAACTCATCTCCATGTGATGACTGTTTAGTAGGTCAGGGGTGACTATTGTTTATTTTGGAGGTTCTCGTTAAGAGAAGGCAGTGTTATGTGCATGTTTGGGAAAAGCATTGCTATTTGCAGGCAAAGCAGCAGCTGTAGAAACCGCTTTCCAAGACTATTAATATCCGGGACCCAGCAAGGTAGTCTGGAGAAAGGCTCTGCGACTAGGCTCTTAGTCATGTTGTTCACTCATTCTGGAGTCAGTCAAGAAGCAAAGGGTTCCTTTGTGTTGGTTTATGAATCATGGTTATTTGATCTGCAACTACATTACAAGAGCTAAGATGAGGTCACTATTTAAGCTTCTTGTTTTTAAGGACCAAAGTCTATGTCTGACCCAGAGTTCCAAAGGTGAAAGAGCAGGAAGTCACATGTGGTGTCTCACAAAAAGCACAGTGTCCTATAAGCCTGTTTCTGATTAAATGGCACACAGTGTTCCTTTAGAGGCTTTGCTAATTCATTGCAACCACATACTTGGCACTAACTTTAAAAAAAATAAAAATAGAGATGGAGGTTTTGCTATGTTGCTCAGAGTGGTCTCAAACTCCTGGCTTCAACTGATCCTCTGCCTTGCCCCCACAAAGTGCTGGGATTAGAGGTGTGAGCACCGTGCCTGGTTGACACGACTTTTAAGGAGTATTTCCTTGATAGAGATAAAGGGAATGAAATCTTTAGTCAAATTTTCATAAGACTTAGCCTAAAACTATTTGGAAGATCTTAGAGTCTTATCAACTTAGGGAGGACTTGGGCTTGGGGCCATTTTCTTTTTGAAATCTCCACTCTTCTATACTGATAAGAATTTTGCTGAGTGAGAATCACAACTGCCTTTCAGAATGGTGCCAGAATTTTGAATTTCAGACATGGTTAAATATTAAAGTAATTTCTACAGGTTTGCTAATGTAAAAATTTTGTTAGTAGGCATGGCATATTAAAAAGAAACAGAAACCAACCAGTATGCTATATACTGTCACCAGATTACTTCATAAAAGAAATAACATTTTAACACTGAAAGGAGAAAAGACTTAATATTACAATAAATGATAGTCTTAAATATCATTATTAAAAACTCGGGGAATAAAAAACAAAGCAACCTCATGAGAATGACCTTATTTTACTTGGTTCATTGCACATGAATGAAAACTTCACCACAATGCCTAGGCACAGAGCAGTGCTTGGGAATCCTTTTTGTAAAGGGTAAGCCAAGAACATCAGGGAAAATTCTAAGAATTTAGAACTTTCTGAGTTCCTATTTTACCAAACCTAGGAGAACAAATACCCTGGCTGGCAATGGTAGCATTTAACAAAATTTCAAATGGGTTTACAAAAAAGAATAAGGAGTTGGAGATTGTTTTTAAAGATAAGGTCAACACTACCAATCATGAAGCTCTTTAGCCAACAGGCTCTTAAAATGTTCTGACTTCTATCTATCTGATTACACCAAAGTAGGAGGGACACTGGAGGCACATGGTCCTTTTGGTAAAAGGTGGCTGAGCCTCCTGTAATGGAGTTGATTCATCATGACTGTCACTGGACTAGGTGATGACACATGCTGTCAGATCGTAGCCACCTTCCCAGCTGTTTGCCTACTTGCCTTTCTCAGTGGCTAGAGGTAGAAGATGATGGAGCCTTCAACCTCAGTGGACCAGCTCAGTAAAAAGCCAATGAACCGCTTGCATAAGAACAGCAAACATTCCCATCTTTATAGGCTGCACTCCTATCTGCCTACCCTGGCACCTTGCTAGCATTTTTAAGGTAGTAAGAGGCCTGTAAGGAAGAGGAAGCATTGCAATTCATGCAAATCTGACTCCGCAGCTCTACTCCAAAGGATAGTTTCAACGTTCTGGGCTGAGTGGGAGGGATGAAAGATCACACATCACCTACAAACAGGGATACCACCCATATCAGACACATTTATAGTCACAGAAGTAAATGGTGCATGGATCAGAGGATACATGCCTCACCATAAAGTTCTAAATATAGTGTACACTCTACCCGAGGATATTGCTTTCATCTTTGTTAACCAGAAAATAGATTAAGCAAAGGTTAGCTGGTGAGACATGTACAAATCCTCAAGTCAAGCTGAGTATTCTGAGAGCCTAAGGTGAATTTTTTCTTTTCCCCTAAAAGTACAACTTTTACCTGCTGAGTGTAACGATCTATTTTGACTTGTGCCTCAGGACAGAGTTCGATATCTTTGGCTCCATAGACAGCCTGGGCAATGGTCCTTATCTTGTCCACAATTGGAAGCTGCAGAAACACAAATTATAACAAAATTGTGTAAGTTTAATCTGGTTAAAGATTTTTTAAAAAGTTTAGTGACACTTACTGTAATTGCTTAAAATTCCCTTATCAGGGTACCCCCTCAGCAACTGCAGGATTCCTTGCAAACCCTCTTTTTTCCTTTTAGCACCCTAAAGCACTGAAATTTTCAGTGTCAGAATAGATCAGATGTCAACTAGCAAATAAGCCTTAGGTGTTCAGGCAATTTAGAGGCTGCTTAGAGCCCATGTAGAATCTGCAGAGGGAGGCCGGGCACAGTGGCTCACACCTATAATCCCAGTACTTTGGGAGGCCGAGGCGGGTGGATTACCTGAGGTCAGGAGTTCGAAACCAGCCTGATCAATATGGTGACACCCCGTCTTTACTAAAAATCCAAAAAAACTAGCTGGGCTTGGTGGTGCATGCCTGTAATCCGAGCTACTTGGGAGGCTGAGGCAGGAGAATCACTTGAACTGGGAGGCAGAGACTGTGGTGAGACAAGATTGTGCCACTGCACTCCAGCCTGGGTGGAGTAGGACTCCGTCTCAAAAAAAAAAAAAAATCTGCAGAGGGAAGAGGGAAGTTAGTGCCTTACAGAGGGCTTCTGACTAGGAAGCCCCAGAACTGCGGCCGACCCCTTCCTCTCCCTGCCTCACCCCTGCAGAAAGATCTGCAGAAAAAGCTGGAAGGGGTGGGATGGTGTGTGTGGGGGTGGGGACTGGGGCTATGCAGTTTCCAGACCTGGTCTTTGGCACCCTCTACAGGACAGTTCCATTCCCACACCTGAGCTTTGGACAACTGAATCCTATGCCCCTTCCCACCCAGGGAACCTGGTGCCAGAAATTCCCAGGACTTACCCACCATCCACCACGCCACATAGCAAGTGTCCTCAGTGTCTGCAGACCAGAAACAACTCCCTTGTGTCTCAGCACCGGGCCACCTGCTGAAACCCCAAACTGCCTGCCCCATTGTTTGAGACCCAGTCAGGCCTTGGCTCCAAAAGTCCTCTTGGACTGCCACTGGCCCCCAGGGTCTCTCCTGACTGCACCTCGGTCCCGGAGCTCCCACACCGCTGGGCCCCGAGCCCCATGCCCCGATCCAGCTGTGGCTCCTTTACGGGGGCCTTGCTGGCCTTTCCTAAGGGAGGTGTTTTCCCGAGGGCAGGTGGACTGCTCCTCAGACTAGGGGCCCTCGGAGGGCCAGGCCTGGGCTTCTACCTCCTCTCGCAGGCTGGTGTTTCTCTGCAAATATGGCTCGTGTGTCCTCCTTCCTCTCAGACTGGGGGCCCCTGAGGACTGGGCCTGAGTTTCCCTCTCCCCCTTCAGAATGGGGGTTCCCTGAGGACTGACCCAGGGCCTCCCCCCGTCCCCTCCATCTGGCTGTTAATCTCCAACACTTCCACCTCCAGTCCTATTCTGCACAGCGCTCCCCAGCGCTGGGAGCTCAGAGGCCTCTTCAGCCTTCCCCAGGGCTGGGGCTCAGGGAGGGCTTCCTCAGGCGCTGGCCCCAGAGTCAGGCTGCACATTGGCTTGGAGGACAGGCCTTTCCTCTGGGACTGTGAGGCCCAGAGTGCCCACCCAGAACTCCACCTCTGACCTCACAAAGGCCTGCTTCAGAACTCAGTCTCCACTGCACTGCTGGCCAGACGAGGGATGTTATTTTGGGCAGTGCATCTGGACTTGGTTCAAGTGGCACCAGCCAAATCCCTGCCTTACTGACCTCTCCCCTGGAGGAGCAGGAGCAGCGCTCAAGGCCGCCTTGGGAGGGCTGAGAGGCAGGCTCTGGACTGGGGACACAGGGATAGCTGAGCCCCAGCTGGGGGTGGAAGCTGAGCCAGAGACAGTCACAGAGGAACAAGATCAAGATGCGCTTTAACTGAGAAGCCCCCAAGGCAGAGGCTGAGAATCAGAAGACATTTCAGCAGAGTGAGTGGGGCTCCAGGCAGGGTGGGGATGGGGCAGCCTCCTCAGTGCCCAGATCTGGAAGGGTCATTCCCTGGGTACCATACAGCGAGGAGGTGACTGAGGGATTGTTTGGGGAAGGAGCCCCGGCTGGGAGTGGAAGTCCCGGCTTTCTTGTTATGGTGCAGTCCTGTGTTGCTGTGTGACACAGGCACATACACCTTCTCTCTGGGCCTCAGTTTCCTTACCTGTAAGTTGGTTGTTGGGAGGACCAGCGGTAGAGCAGAGATGGCAGGGATGCACTGGGCTGGGCTGTCAGCAGACCATGGGGGTGGGACGAGGAGAGAGCTGAAGACCACCGGCAGTGGACCACAGGGGGAGGCATGCAGGCCAGAGACGGGTCAGCTGCCGGCTTGCTGGAGTCATTCCTCCCACGCAGTCCCCTCCTGAGGGGCTGGAGCTGGGGCTGGAGGGTTTCAGCAGTCAGGGCTGGAGATAAGAGTCTGTGCTGGAGCTAGAGGGAACTGGGCTAGAGAATCAGGAGGACAGACAGGGTGAGGGGACTTCGGGCTACCTTCATGCTGTCTGTTAGAGATAAAGATAGGAGTACAAAGGGGAATTTTTGGGTGAGGTACACGGGTGAAATGAGTTTTCAGGGCCTCATCCTGTGTGTTCACCTTCTGCGTGTGTGTGTGTGTGTGTGTGTGTGCATGCGTGCATATATGTGTGTGTGCAGGTCCTGGACAGTCACAGCTTAAGTTAGCAGCAAGAGAACTTGAGGTTAAAGGTATAGCACGCAAATATGAGGCTGGAGCCACTGAGTAGAGGCTGAGGGCATCTCCACAGTCCAAAGCTGGGCTGCAGACAGGGAAGGTCAGCAGGAGCACTGGAGGGTCTGGCCTGGGGTTGGGGTCCTGGGGCCAGCATGGGTGGGGTGGGGCTCCAGGGCGTCGCCTCATTGGCTGAGCACCGCTCCTCCCTCCCTGTTCCTTGGCTGGGTTAAGGGAGTGGCACTAGCAGGAGCTGCCCCAGGGCTTCTCCCCTGGGGACAAAGGTCTGATGGAAGTGTGGGGCCAAGTTCTGTGTCCTCCAGCCCTAGTGACCTCTCTTTGGCTCTTCAGCATCTACAAATCTGAAGGACAAAACATGGTTCAAGCATCTGGGCACAGGCGGTAAGTACCCCACCCTCTTCTCACCCTCCAGCCCCCTGTCCTCCACCCAGCCCACTTCAGTGCCCTCCCTGCTCCATCCTCAGCCTCTCCCTTGGGGCAGCTGTCCCCCCTCGACCTCCTCCTCCCCACCCACCCACTCGCCTCTGAGGTCCCAGAAGAAAAGCATCTTCCACCTGTTGCCTGGGCTGGGTCCTGGGGTGAGGGGAGGCTCAGAAATACTTGGATGAGGGTCAAGGCATGCAGGTGGCCTTCAACTCAACTGCACTCAGCACCTCTCACCCTCTCAGGCTCAGCTGTCTTTGGGGTGAAAAAGAGCCAGTCCTTGCAATGGCCAAGGCCCTGCCTATGTAGTCCTTGTTAGCTTTCTGGCCTCCCCACTCCAGCCCCCTGCTCTCCCTCCTCCAGCCACACTGAGTTTCTTTTCTGGTTTTTTTTTTCTTTTTTTTTTTTTTTTTTTTTTTGAGATGGAATCCAGTTCTGTTGCCCAGGCTGGAGTGCAATGGCAAGATCTTGGTTCACTGCAACCTCCTTCTCCCGGGTTCAAGCGATTCTCTTGCCTCAGCCTCCTGAGTAGCTGGGATTACAGGATTACAGGCACACACTACCATGCCCAGCTAATTAGTTGTTTTTTTTTTGTTTTTTTTTTTTTTTTTTTTTTTGTATTTTTAGTAGAAATGGGGTTTCGCCATGTTCGCCAGGCTGTTCTTGAACTCCTGACCTCAGGTGATCCACCCGCCTCGGCCTCCCAAAAGGTTGGGATTACAGGTGTGAGCCACTGCACCTGGCCTCACACTGACTTTCTTTGCTTTCTTCAAACATGCTGAGAGTCCTCTGGTGACTATTCCCTCCATCTGAGAGGCTTTCTGCAGTTAACATACAGCCCACTCTCATCTCCTTCATGGCTTTGCTCCAAGGCCACCTTCTCAACAAGGATTACTCTGACTGCCCTATTTGAAATCACACCCCATCTCCAGCCCCTGCACTCCCAATTCCCCTCTCCTTGCTCTGTTTTTTCCCATAGGAGCTGGTACCTTCGCTTATACAAATGTACTTACTTATTACATTTCATTGCTGTCAGCTCCACGCAAGCAGGGATATTTGCCTGTTGTACACTTGCACGGAGAGAATGAATAGTGCCCCTCTGTTGACATCATTGCCTCTAGCCTACGTCTCTTTCCAGGGCTTTAGATCCTGTTTCTAGAGACCCACTGGTGTCTCACAGGCAACTCAGCTCCTAGATGGAAACAGCCTCCTCCGCCCCCCACAAGTCCACTCCTCCTGTGCTCTTGGCTCAGTCAGGGGTCCCCTTCTCTTCAGTTGCTCAAGCCAGAAGTCAAGGTCATGTCCTTGATACTTCCCTCTTCCCCATGCCTCACATCCAGTCACCAATCTCCTAAAATATCTAGAATGTGCACAGCTTCCACCATTCTTTCTACCACCACCCTACTCCCCCATGGCCATGTCAGGCCACCACCCGCCCATTCTTCAAAACTCCCTTCAGGCCTCACCTCCCATGCCTCCCCTGAGTTCCCCCAGTCCCAGGCTGCTTCTCTCTGGTGGTGTTGCCATTACCCATCTCTTCTATTAAACAGAGTGACCCAAGAGTGGAGAGTGGGTTTTGACTTTGTATCCCTGGTGCTTGACTCATAAGTAGGTGCTCAACAAAAATTTTTTCTTTTTTTGAGATGGAGTCTTGTTCTGTTGCCCATGCTGGAGTGCAGTGGCATGATCTCGGCTCACTGCAACTTCTGCTTCTTGGGCTCAAGCGATTCTCACATCTCAGCCCCCACCCCAGCTGGGATTACAGGTGCCTGCCACCACGCCCAGCTAATTTTTTTTTTATTTTTAGTGGAAATGGGGTTCTGCCATGTTGGCCAGGCTGGTCTTGAACTCCTGACCTCAAGTGATCCACCTGCCTCGGCCTCCTGAAGTGTTGGGATTACAGGCATGAGTCACCATGCCTGGCCAACAAATGTTTGTTGAATGAAGAAATGTTGGTTAGCAGGTTGAATTGTTGGCTCGTGGTTAGTTGGATAGTTTATGGTTGACTGGTTGATTAGATAATTCAATGAGTTAATAGCTGGTTAACAGGAGAATCAGTTAGTTGGTTTTTGATAGGTTAGTCAAAGGGTTAATAAGCCACCGGGCATGTTGGCTCATGCCTGAAATCCCTGCACCTTGGGAGGCTGAGGCTGGAGGATTGCTTGAGTCCAGGAGTTTGGGACCAGCTTTGGTAACATGGCAAAACCCCATCTCTACAAAAAATAGGAAAAAATAGCCGGTCATGGTGGCATGCTCCTGTAGTCCCAACTACTTGGGAGGCTGAGGTGGGAGGATCACTTGAACCCTGGGAAGTCTAGGCTTCAGTGAGCTGTGACTGTGCCACTGCACTTCAGCCTGGGTGACAGAGTGAGACCCTGTCTCAAAAAAAAAAAGAAAAAGAAAAAGAAAAGAAACAGGCGTTAGTGAGTTGTTAGCTATTTAGTTCCTTGGTTAACAGATTACTTAGGGGATCTGGTTGGCTGTCAGTTTCTTGCTTTGTAGGCTGGCTTTCTTGGGCCCCTCTTAGTCTGTACCCTCTCCTTGAGCTCTCTCATCTATGCCCATGGCTCAGATGACCATCTGTGATTTGCTGTCCTCCAAATGTGTCTGTAAGTGAGACCACATGACCAGCTGCCTCCTCACTGGCCATCCCACCCAAGTGTCTAGCGGGCTCCTCACACTCAACATGTCCAGAAAGGGCCTCCTTGTCCATTCTTCCACAGCTTCTCTGCTGTGCCCCACGCTAGTCATTCTGCTGCCCTAGCCAGGACCTGAGGGCATCGCTGAGCTGCCCCGCTCCCTTCCCTCTCTAACTGAACACCAAGCCTGTCAGCTTGACTGTGCTCTTGTGGCCATTGGCACTGCCATCCTTGTGGCTCAGGCTGCCACCACTTCTCCACCCATCTGTGGAGAAGCTGATGCTCACCCTGCCTCCACTCCACTTCCTCCATCCTGGCCTCCACAGGGGAGGCAGCTCTCCTGCTGAAACCCTCCACTTGGCCCATGGCCCTCTGGTAGAGTTCAGACTCCCTAATGTGGGCCATGAGGCCTTCTGCCACCTGGCCCTGGCCCCTCTCTGCCCATCTCATGCCACCTCCACTCCTCCGTGGCCAGCCCATTCCTGCACATTGGATACTGCCTTAGCTGCAGGCCTTTGCACATGCCAGTCCTACGCCCAGAGTGATCCCTGCCTCCCTGGAGGCTCCTTTACCCTCCAGCCTTCTTTTCTTGACCTGAATTTCCCTTTCTCTGGGAGCCTTCTACCCCCTCCTCTAGGCCATTCACTTCCTCCACATGCCCCACAGTGCCCACTCTTTCAGCTGGGGCAATGCTCATCACACTGCATAGTAGTTGCTCAATTGATTGCTTTTCTTCCCACAGGCTGGATTGTACCAGTGTCCTTTACTGCAGTGACTGAACATTCTAGGCACAGTAGATTCAAGAAATCTTGAGTTCATTGGCTGGTTGGTGGTTATCTGTTGCTTACTGTGTCTTGCCTGCTGTGTGGTGATGAGGAAGGAGCCAGGCTTCCAGGATTCTCTTGGTGTTCTTGTCTTTCCGCTCTGTCCACTTCTCTCTCCTCTTCTGTGGTTACCTCCAGCATGGGAGGTGGGGTTGGATGGGAGCCAGTGGAGGGTCACCTCGCCCTGCTAGGGAGAGCAGCAGCATTCCTCAGGGCTCCTAAATTCCCCTGACCTCACAGCAGCAAAAAGTAAGCAGAGGGAATGAGAGACGTCCAGGCATGGAATAAAACATCTTCCACTTTTCAGCTGAGACCCTCTGTTCATAGCTCACCCATCCCAGTCCTTGCTCTATTCCTTACTCCAGAGAAACAAAACCAGGGATGAGTAGATGGAGGGGGATGCAGAGTTGCGCGGATATTCCACTGGCCCCCATCCAACTCCAGCTCCCATGCAGCATCGTATAGGGGTCTCATTATCCCATGACCAGCCTCCTCAGCCCTGAAGAAGAGACCCTACCAATGCAAGCAGCAGCCCAAAGACAGTCCTGGGAAGGTACCATAGAGGCAGGGGAGAGTTAGACAGAGCAGGGAGCCAAGAACACCAAGGGAATCCTGGAAGCCTGGCTCCTTTCTCATCAGCACAGAGCAGGCAACAACCAGCCAAGGAACCAAAGATTTATTGAATCTACTATGCCTACTATGTTCAGGCACTGCAGTGAAGCAAACTGGTATGATCCCAGCCCTTAGGAAGAAAAACCGTTAATTAATTAAGCTTTTTTTTTTTTTCTTTTTTGAGACAGGGTGTCGCTCTGTCACCCACGCTGGAGTGCAGTGGTGTTATCTCAGCTCACTGCAACCTCTGCCTTCTGGGCTCAGGCAATCCTCTCACATCAGCCTCCCCATTAGCTGGGACCACAGGCGTACACCACAACACCTGACTAATTTTTGTATTTTTTTTTTTTTGTAGAGATGAGGTTTTGTCATACTGCCCAGGCTGGTCTTGAACTCCTGGGCTCAAGCGATCAGCTCGCCTCAGCAAGTGCTGGGATTACAGGCGTGAGACACTGTGCCTGGCCTAACTGAGCAATTACTATGCAGTGTGATGAGCATTGCCCCAGCTGAAAGAGTGGGCACCGTGGGGCATGTGGAAGAAGTGAATGGCCTAGAGGAGAGGGTAGGAGGCTCTCCCAGAGAAAGGGAAATTTAGGTCAAGAAAAGAAGGCTGGCGGGTAAAGGAGCCTCTGGGGAGGCAGGGGACCATTCTCGGTGTAGGACTGGCATGTGCAAAGGCCTGCAGCTAAGGCAGTACATGATATGCAAGGATGGGCTGGCCAGAGGAGTTGAGGGGCTGGTGTCAGCTTCCGGGCATGCAGACAGTGAGATAGCAGAGTGACTAAGGCCACACTTAGAGGTATCTGTATCCCTCTTCTTCCTCTTTTTTTTTTTTTTTTTTTTTTTGAGATGGAGTCTCGCACTTGTTGCCCAGGCTGGAGTGCAGTGGCAAGATCTCGGCTCACCACAACCTCCATCTCCCATGTTCAAGTGATTCTCCTGCCTCAGCCTCCGAAGTAGCTGGGATTACAGGCATGCGCCACCATGCCTGGCTAATTTTGTATTTTTTAGTAGAGATAGGGTTTCTCTATGTTGGTCAGGCTGGTCTCGAACTCCCGACCTCAGGTGATCTGCCCACCTTGGCCTCCCAAAGTGCTGGGATTATAGGCGTGAGCTACCGGGCCCAGCCCCTCTTCTTCCTCTTTATCCTCCAGTCCCACCCCGCCACCTTCCCCAAACTCCAGTCCTATACCTCTCCCTATACGCAGATTTGGAACCTGTTACTCACCTGTTTCATCTACCTTTCCATCTAACCGTGCAATTAACTAAATATAAATCAAGTGCCAGGCCCTTTGGCAAGCTCTGAGGATCTAGTTGGGAGTAAGACAGATTCCCCAGTTTTCACCCATTCAACAAATACTTATTGCACATCTACTATGTGCCTGGCATGGTGCTGGGCACTGAAGATACACCAGGAAGTAGATCCAGTCCTTCCTTTTCTCCCTCCCGCTCTCTTGGTCATTCATTCATTCATTCACTCACTCTCTCACAAACCTCTGTTTGCAATGACCTGGTTGCACAGCCTGGTGCATTTTGCTGACCCCTTCATTTTTGACAGAACCTGGCGCATGTTTCAGTGCTCAGTGCTGTTTACAGAGCTCGGCAGCAGACTTTGTCACACTTCATGCTGTTTGTAGAGTGCCTCACTGTTGCCAGGCCCTGGCCTGTGACCCCAAAGTTCTGGCTCTAGCAGATAGGCAGACAGACAGATGGACAGACATAGACTACTGAGCTCTACTTTCCAGCCTGCTCTCTCCCACCCTACTTTTTCCCAGAGGCTTGTTGGCACCGTGGATTGCACTTTCAGCTCCCCACCTGCCCGTCTGCAAAGTGGCCTCATTGGTGTGCCATTTTTACTGGTCCAGTCCCAACTACAAGGGGCATGGCTTGGCCATCTACCCCAGTTCCTCTCCATGTCCCCATGGCTCGCAAGTGTCTCCAATTCCAGCTGTCCCAGCTGCCCCGGGCAAGAGGAGGTGTGTGTGGCAAGTCTGCTGGGTTACCTATTAACTCAGCTGTGAGTTGAAGAGCCGATGGGCAGCAGGCAGACTTGAGTCTCCTTTCTGTCCATGAGCTCGGGCCACTGTATCAGGTCCACCCGTGGCTCCAAAATGGTCTCCTGGTCCGTGATAGCAAAGATCCAGGAAATATGATGCGAGGAAGATGAGAGGAAGATGGCGCGAGAGTTCGTGGCCAAGTTCATGAGCACATATGTCATGATGGTGAGTGGGCGGGCAGCACGAAGTGGGTGGGCTCTGCCAGGGCCTTCCATGACCCCCTCCCCATTCTGACCCCATGGGTCACATTGTCCATTCCTTGCCTCTGAGCTGGGAGCCTGGGGAAGCAGCGAGGAAAGTAAGGCGGGGGGGCTTTCTCATCAAGTCTTTTTGGACAGAAAGGGCTCATAATATGTGGGGGTCAAATGAAACCATGCACTGGGGTATCCGGGGCAAGGCTGGAAATGGGGAGAAGGGAAACCCAGAGTAAAGAGATTGAAGAGGCCCAGGTGCAGTGGCTCATGCCTGTAATTCCAGCACTTTGGGAGGCTTAGGCAAGTGGATCACCTGAGGTCAGGAGTTCGAAACCAGCCTGGCCAACATGGTGAAACCCCGTCTCTACTAAAAATACAAAAATTAGCTGGGCATGGTGGCGGACACCTGTAATCTCAGTTATTCAGGAGGCTGAGGCAGGAGAATCGCTTGAGCCCAGGAGGTGGAGGTTGCAGTGAGCTGAGATCACACCATTGCACTCAGCCTGGGTGACAGGAGCAAAACTCTGTCTCAAAAAAAAAAAAAAAAAAAAAGAAAAAAGAGAGAGAGATTGAAGAGAAACTTGATGATCAGGCTCTGATAATGAATCCAGAGGGCAATGGGCGATGTTGAAGGCTGGCAAGCAGGGGAGTGACATGATCAGATTTGGATTTTAAAGGTAATTTTGGGTGCAGTGTGGAGCATAAGCAGGACAGGCAAGGCTGGCAAGAAGGAACCAGTTAAGAGGCTGTTTTTGATCTGGGACAGAGAGAGGGTGATGACTGATCTGGGGTTGGAGAAGAAAGCACATGTTTGAGAGGGCTGTGGAAGATGGAATCGGGGAGACTCTGCCAGCAGAACATGTGGGCAAAGCGCCGATGAGCTGTTCTGGAGCACGGGGCCCAGCACAGGGTGAGAGGCAAGATGCCTGTAGGGAAATCCAGGAGATAGTTAAACACAGGCGAGGGGCTGGAGCTCAGGAGAGGCTTGGTCTGGAAGGAAAAAGTTGAAGTTCATCACAACACAGGTGGTGGTTGTCAACACTGTCTAGAAGGAGTGTACAGAAAGAGAAAAGGATGGTTTGAGGACAGAGCCCTGAGGAATGAAGAGGGGCACGCAAAGGAGCCTGAGAAGGAATGGTCAGA
This sequence comes from Homo sapiens, assembly GCF_000001405.40. Lineage (NCBI taxonomy): Eukaryota > Metazoa > Chordata > Mammalia > Primates > Hominidae > Homo > Homo sapiens. The sequence continues at coordinate 40,490,054 of NC_000009.12, read as the reverse complement.
GAGGTGGGAGGAGAACCAGAGCCGACTGCATGACAGAGGGGGGCAGTGGTTCCACCAGGAAGAAGCCGTCAGCGGCATGGGCAGCGGCAGATGGGCCACGCAAGGTGAGCACTGGCAAGGGGCCTTAGGGTTTGCCAATGTGGAGGTTGCTGGTAACCTTGACAAGGGCTCTTCTTTAGTGTGTGATTGGGACAGAATCCAGACTGCAGGTGGGATGTGAGGTTGCTCCCTCTCCACCTGCTTCAGCCCTGCCACTTACCCCAGTGAGCCTCTGCCCTTAACATGACTGTAGCCATGTTTATTGCATCTTATGCAGGGTCCAGGGTCTAGAGAAAGAAGGGGCAGCCTCTGGGAAGGGAGGCAAAGGCAGCCAGGTGCATGCTAGAGGAAGGTGGGGTGAGAGAGGCTGTTCGTGTGTGTGGTGGAGCCCATGGAGCTCAAGGGAGAGAGGGAATTGGAACACCAGGTTTCTTAGCCTGACCCTGCCACTGAGTGACCAGTTGCCTTGGGCAGGTCTCTCCCTGGCTTAAAGCCTGACTTCTCACTTATATCGTGTAGAATTAGGCCTTCGTGGGCTTTGGAGCTGTGTTTGAATCCTAGCTCTGTTATCTTCTAGCTGTGCGACTATCCACAAGTATCTTAACTGTTCACAAATTTAGCTTTCTTGTTTTTGAGACAGGGTCTCACTCTGTCTCCTAGGATGGAGTGCAGTGGTACGATCTCAGCTCACTGCAGCCCCCACCTCCCATACTCAAGTGACTCTCTTTCCTCAGCCTCTTGAGTAGCTGGGACTACAGGCATGTGCCACTGTGCTCAGCTAATTTTTCTATTTTTAGTAGAGATGGGGTTTCACCATGTTGGCCAGACTGGTCTCGAACTCCCGAATTCAGGTGACCTTCCTGCCTCGGCCTCCCAAAGTGCTGGGATTGCTGGCGTGAGTCACCTCTCCCGGCCCACAACTTTAGCTTCCTTATTGGTTAACAGGAGGACTTGTGTGAAGAAGGCCAAGTCTCAGCACCCAGTGTGGTACCCATGTATTGGTCCCTTGTTATTAGGACGGGTGCTCTAGCTGCTGTCTCCTCTCTGTCTCTGGCCCTCCCCTACTCCTCTCTTACCTCCCCACCTGCTTTGGCTCCTGAGCTGTGAGGACAGCAGTTGGATCCTGTCCCTCCTTAATCCAGGGCAAAGTAATTCACTTACCACAAGACATTCCAGCCCCATGAGGGCTGTTAACCCTTGGAGCCTCGGAGGCAGGAGGGTGCATCCTCTGAGAGCTGTTAGGGAAATAGGCACCGCCCACATGCTTGATACCTGCCCACATCTGTGTTCCTCTTCCTTTTGTTGAGATTTTCATTGAGCACCTAATGCATCCTGGGCTCTGTGATGCTAAGCCCCTTACGTGCAGCATCTTCCCAAATCCTCGCAATAGCCCTGTGAAGTAGGTACTATTATTATCCCAGTTTCACAGATGGGAAAACTGAGGCTCCTTGAGACTAAGCCTTTTGCCCAAGGTCACACTTTAAGTCAAGATTAAATCCAGTGCAGTCTAATATCACAGTCTTTTTTGTTTTTGTTTTTGTTTTTTTGAGATACAGTCTTGCTTTGTCACAGTGGTGCAATCTCGGCTCACTGCAACCTCTACCTCCTGGGTTCAAGCGATTCTTGCATCTCAGCCTCTGGAGTAGCTGGAATTACAGGTGCATGCCACCATGCCCAGCCAATTTTTGTATTTTTAGGAAAGACAAGGTTTCACCATGTTGTCAAGGCTGGTCTTGAACTCCTGACTTCAAGTGATCCTCCCACCTCGGCCTCCCAAAGTGCTGGGATTACAGGCATGAGTCACCGTGCCCAGCTCAATATCACAGTCTTGACCCTTAACCTCTATGCTCTGTACCTTAGCTTAAATATTGCCAGCTTTTAAAGACTGGCTTGTTAATGCTCCCCCAGCCAGGGTAAAGTCCTCACTTTCAGGTAGTTCAAGATGCCTCTCTCGGCCTCAGTTTCCCCATTTATAGAGTGGGAGAAAAATTCTTGCTGTGCAGATTTGTTGTGAGGATTGAAGACAGTAGCACTTGTAAAAGAACTTTGTGAGGCGTAAGCCTATATCGGATATTGTGGTGTTGTTATTTTTAGTTGCCAGGCTGTGCCAAGAAGTGAGGGTTTTTTTTTTTTTTTTGTAAATATATATATAGGAATCTCAGTGAGTCACCAGGGTGAAGTTTTGCCAAAAAAGCTAGTGTGACCTTGGCCCCATTTATTGCAGCCAGGACAAGGGAAGTGGACTGATCCGTGTTGCAGCTTCCAGGTGTGTTGCCCTTGGAGCTGGCCTCCTGGCTGTGGGGGAGAGTTGGATGGGCTGGGCCACATTCACTGATCAGGGAGAGGAGGGGCTGGAGCCATCCGGGCCCTGGAAAACCAGCCATACACATGAGACACGGGGCAAGGGTTGTAGATCACATGCTACGGGGGCCAAGAGAGCGGCAACTCAGGGCGGTGGGGACTTTGGCTGGCTGCAGAGTGCCAATCTGTGCAAGGCTGTAGAGCTGCTGCCACTCCAGCTGACTGTTGCCATGGAGGGTGGAATGCAGGCCAGTGTTGCTTGAGCTGCTCATTTTTCAAGAGAGATGGAAACTTCTGTTCTTCAAAACCAAGTTATCTAAACAAAATCTGTGCGCTGGATGAATTAGGTGCATGAGTTGCCAGTTGGCAACCCTGACACAAGGAATCATGTGGGGTTCATTCACTCACCCAGTATTTTATTTTATTTATTTTATTTTTTTGAGACAGAGTCTCACCCTGTTGCCCAGGCTGGAGTGCAGTGGTGTGATCTCAGCTCACTGCTCTGCCTCCCGGGTTCAAGTGATTCTCCTGCCTCAGCCTGCCGAGTAGCTGGGATTACAGGCATGTGTCACCACACCTGGCTAATTTTTTGTATCTTTAGTAGAGACGGGGTTTCACCATGTTGGCTAAGCAGGTCTCAAACTCCTGACCTCATGATCGGCCTGCCTCGGTCTCCCAAAGTGCTGGGATTACAGGCGTGAGCCACCACACCTGGCCTATGCTCATCCAGTATTTTTAGCACATGGTATTGGAATGCGGGAAAGGCCATGGGGGCCCCTCTGTTTTCAGACCCTCCATGCCTCCTCCAGTCCCTCTACCTCTTGACCCTGCCAGCCTGTCAACCTGTCCTGACCTCACTCCCCCCTGCACCCCCATCTGTTCCTGTCCTCTCCTGTTGTATCTTATCCTGGATCTGAAGCCAGCCTAGCTCTGGGCTCCCCTGCTCCTGTCCTGGGGCTTCTGAGGGACCCAGTGGGCCCTGCTCAGCTGCCTCTCCCCCACCATATCTGGGCTATTTCACATTTTCTCAGACTTCCCCAAAGCTGCTCTGTACTCTTTTTTTTTTTTAAATCAGCAAATGGCTTGATCTGCTGCTTGATAGGTAAAATAATCAACACTTCCTATGTTCAGCTCACCCTCTTGTCCCTCTTACCACCAGACCCATTAACCACCCGTCTATCCACATATCACCCCTTGGCTGGGGTGGGGTCCTCTCCTTCCTGGAGGACACCTCCACTTCTGCACCAATCCAGCTGTCCAGCCTATTCAGGTACTTTACTCTGTCCTTTTTCTCTGTCCTTTATCTTCAGCCCATCCCTCTCTCAGCCTATAAACATACTGAAGTTTCTCCACTGAAAACAACACAAAATGAAACATCCCTCCCTTCACCCTGTCAGCCCCTTCACGGGATCATGTTCTCTCTTCCCCGCTCCTCAGGCGAATTCTCGAAGAGGAGTCTACACTGGTGCCTTTCAACTCTTTTTTTTTTCTTTTTTTGAGATGGAGTCTTGCTCTGTCGCCCAGTCTGGAGTGCAGTGGTGTGATCTCAGATCACTGCAAGCTCCACCTCCTGGGTTCAAGCAATTCTCCTGTCTCAGCCTCCTGAGTAGCCGGGATTACAGGCAAGCACCACCACGCCTGGCTAATTTTTGTATTATTAGTAGAGACGGGGTTTTGTCATGCTGGTCTTGAACTCCTGACCTAAAGTGATCCATCCACCTCGGCCTTCCAAAGTGCTGGGATTACAGGCATGAGCCACCGCACCCAGCCTGGTCTGCCTTCTTACCTTGTACCCTCTCCTGGGGCCTTCTCCTCTGTCGGCTTTGACTTTGGCCCTTATGTCTACAATTCTTCAGGTTTTCTCCTTTATCAACTCTAGAACAGAGTTCTCCAGGGGAAATACAATACAAGCCATCTGTATAATTTAATTTTTTCTAGTATCCACATTAAAAAGGTAAAAAGCAACAGGTGAAATTAATTTTAATAATTAACCCATATAGCCAAAATCCTATTTCAAGATGCAATCAATGTAAAATTATTAGGATATTCTGGCCAGGCATGGTGGCTCACACCTGTAATCCCAGCACTCTGGGAGGCTGAGGTGAGAGGATTGCTTAAGGCCAGGAGCTCGAGACCAGCCCGGTCAACATAGTGAAACCTCATCTCTACACAAAATAAATTGAAAAACTTAGCTGGGATAGGGCTCAATGGCTCATGCCTGTAATCCCAGCACTTTGGGAGGCCAAGGCAGGCTGATCATCTGAGGTCAGGTGTTTGAGACCAGTCTGGCCAACATCGTGAAACCCTGTCTCTACTAAAAATACAAAAAAATAGTTGGGCATGGTGGCATGCACCTATAATCTCAACTACTCGGGAGGCTAAGGCAGGAGAATCACTTGAACCCGGGAGTTGGAGGTTGCAGTGAGCCGAGATTGCGCCATTGCACTCCGGCTTGGGCGACAGAGCAAGACTGTCTCAAAAAAAAAAAAAAAAAAATTGGCTGCGTGTCGAGGCACATGCCCATAGTCCCAACTACTTGAGAGGCTGAGGTGGGAGTATCACTTGAGCCCAGGAGATGGAGGCTGCAATGAGCCCTGATCATGGCACTGCACTCCAGCCTGGGTGATAGAGCAAAACCCTATCTCAAGCATCAAACAAACAAACAAATAAAACAGAGGCACAAGAAAGCAAGGCATGCATGGAGCAGCGCAGTTGTTTGGTTTGAGGCCATCTGGCACAGGTAACTGCCTGGATTTAATCCTGGCTCACCATGTACAGGCTGTGTGACCTTGGACAAGCCATTCAAGTTCTCTAAGCTTCAGATTACCCATCTGTCAAGTGGGGGAGAATAATAGTGCTTAACTATCATTTGCAACATCTGAGTTTCTGGCTCGGCCAACGGGGATGGGGAACATAGAGTGAGGAGCAGGTGTGCTGTGAGATGGCGAACCTTCAACAGAGCCTGAGACGTCCGTGGAACACCAGGAGAGTTGCAGTGGGGATTTGCAAATAGGCATCTGGCTCCCCCACGGAGATGACGGGAATTTCAGCGCATCAGGCATAGCTGAGACTGTCTACGTGGTAAAACCATGCCTGAAAAGACCTTTGGAAAATCAGGAGGTTGCTGGAGCCCTTGGAGAGAGCTTTGGTGTCTGTGACATGTGGAAATGGAAGCCAGATTGAGGAGGGGGTGCGAGGGAAGGGGTGAAGCAGCTGGCCAGTGTGTTCTCTCCTGCAGCCTGACTGAAACAGGGAGGGGGCAACCAGGAACCCACAGCTGGAGAAGGACACTGGGCAGGGGTGGGACAGTTTGCTGGGAAGGATGAGACTCCAGTGTGTGGGAACCGATCAATGGGAGGATGGAAGGTATGGGGGAGACGGAGGCCTCTGCAGAGGGAGAGGATAGCACAGGAGCCAGGGCTGAAGGGAACAGTGGCTCTAGACTGAGGGTAATGGGCCTGAAGGTAGGCCCCTTCCCCTGTGAAGGCAGCATTATCTGAGGAGCCGTGAGGGATGGGCAAGAAGCAGCAGCTTGGGAATGCCGCCTGAGGTCAGTGGAAATGAAGCTGAGGGCAAGACAGTTAGGGCCCCACTGTTCCAGCATTGTGGGAATTGCGGTGGAGTGTGTGTGTGTAGGGAGGGGTTCCTGGCAGAGTCAGGCATGGATGGATTTGGAGGTCCCTTGAAGAAACTTCCTTCAGGTCAGCCTGAAGTGTGAGGGACTCTGAGGGGGTGCAATGCATGCCAGCCATCCCCTCCTCGCAGCCCTGCCTCACCCCAAAACTTCAGGTGGGCCTGGGGCTGAGGTGCTTGGATGTTTGTAGTAAGAGCTTCTAACTCTGCTGCTCCACCCGGCTCTCAGTGGCTCAGGTCTGAGAGGCCTCAGCAGGGGCAAGGAGAGGAGGCAGTGAGGAGGGAAGGCTCTGGAGGAAGAGGGCATGGCAGAGGGTCTTCGAGGCAACGCCAGGGAGGCCCAGGGCATGGGGGTGAGGAGCTAGAACTGAGCTCTGAGCCCTCCTCTGAGGTTGGGGCTTCTGGGCAGGCAGCCCCCTTAGAGGCCCTCCCTTGTAGGTATTCGGCCTTGGTTCCGTGGCCCATATGCTTCTAAATAAAACATTTGGGAGCTACCTTGGTGTCAACTTGGGTTTTGGCTTCGGAGTCACCATGGGAGTGCACATGGCAGGCCGCACCTCTGGTGAGTGAGCCCAGGCCCTGCCGGACCGGGCAAGACCAGGTGTCCCCAACAGGCTCTTTCCTGCCCGCCTCAGCCAGCTCCTTTGCCAGCACAGCCAGTGCCTCAGCCTGGCCACCGGGCGGGAGGAAGTCTCCTCTGAACCCCGTGCCTATGACGTGTCTGCCCCAGATTCTTCCTGGCCCCCCCGACCTACCATTTTCACTGGCTGGGTCATCTTAGGCAAGCCATCGCCTCTGTGTTCCTCAGTTTCCTTAAGAGTGAAAGGAAGACGGTGGCCCCTGCCTCACGGGGTGGTTGTGAGGGCTCAAGGAGAGAACTCTGTCACGGAGCATGCTGTCATACACACTAGCCATCGTTGTTCTCATACTGTTTGTCACTGTTGTTTGTTCTGCTCTCACTCCCTGACACACTTGCCTGCTGCCCGCAGGAGCCCACATGAACGCAGCTGTGAGCCTCACTAACTGTGCACTGGGCCGTGTGCCCTGGAGGAAGTTTCCAGTATATGTGCTGGGGCAGTTCCTGGGCTCCTTCCTGGCAGCTGCCACCATCTACAGTCTCTTCTACAGTGAGCGTCCTGCCCGGGTGTCCGCCTCTGGCCTCAGCTGCCTCCTATGAAATATGGGCAGATTGGACCTCAGTGTCCTGATTTGTAAAAAATAGCTGGGAGAAAAAAGCCTTGGAGGTCTCCCACCCTCTAACCTATAACCTAATTTCCGGGACCCTGGTGGGGCTTAGTTGGGGACAGGTTCGCATGATAGTCTGTGTCTCCACAGCGGCCATTCTCCACTTTTCGGGTGGAGAGCTGATGGTGACCGGTCCCGTTGCTACAGCTGGCATTTTTGCCACCTACCTTCCTGATCACATGACATTGTGGCGGGGCTTCCTGAATGAGGTCAGTGGTCCAGGATGAGTACCCCTCCCCCTGCCCTCCACCCCTCAGGACGGAGCCAGCAGGGAGTCCCTCCGGATAGACAGGACAAGAACTCTGGATGGAGACTGTACCAAGATGTGTCTCTGCTGGTGGGCTTGGGTCTGGGGCACTGCCGAGGTCCTGTGGCTTGGGGAGGGGCCCAGGTGAGCTTCCACAGCATCTGCTCCTCAGGAGTGGCTGACCGGGATGCTCCAGCTGTGTCTCTTCGCCATCACGGACCAGGAGAACAACCCAGCACTGCCAGGAACACACGCACTGGTGATAGGCATCCTCGTGGTCATCATCAGGGTGTACCATGGCATGAACACAGGATATGCCATCAATCCGTCCCGGGACCTGCCCCCCCGCATCTTCACCTTCATTGCTGGTTGGGGCAAACTGGTCTTCAGGTACTGCCCCTGCCCAGGCCCATTCCTTTGAGATTTTCTGTGGGGCCCCTGTGTGTTGAGGTGTGGGGGGTGATGTGAGGGGCAGCACAGGAGGGTCCTGCAGAGCCCCCAGGTGGCCTGGGGAGCAGGAGTGAGTCCCAACATTTCCCCAGGCCAGTACAGATACAGATCCTGCACCTGCACTGAGTGTCAACCCTGTCCCTGAATCGGGCTGAGGCTGACCAGGGCCCCGGGTTGGGGGTGTTTCCTGGGTTAGCCTGAGGATGACTCCTCTGCTCAACCAGTCTTGGCCCGAGGTGGATGAGGGTGCTGTCCTGGGCATCAGCCCCCTCAGCCGGCCTCTGCCTCTTGCCTGCAGCGATGGGGAGAACTTGTGGTGGGTGCCAGTGGTGGCACCACTTCTGGGTGCCTCTCTAGGTGGCATCATCTACCTGGTCTTCATTGGCTCCACCATCCCACGGGAGCCCCTGAAATTGGAGGACTCTGTGGCATATGAAGACCACGGGATAACCGTATTGCCCAAGATGGGATCTCATGAACCCATGATCTCTCCCCTTACCCTCATCTCCGTGAGCCCTGCCAACAGATCTTCAGTCCACCCTGCCCCACCCTTACATGAATCCATGGCCCTAGAGCACTTCTAAGCAGAGATTATTTGTGATCCCATCCCTTCCCCAATAAAGAGAAGCTTGTCCCACAGCAGTACCCCCACTTCCTGGGGGCCTCCTGTGGTTGGGCTTCCCTCCTGGGTTCTTCCAGGAGCTCTAGGGCTATGTCTTAGCCCAAGGTGTAGAGGTGAGGCACCTCAAGTCTTTCATGCCCTGGGAACTGGGGTGCCCCAGGGGGAGAATGGGGAAGAGCTGACCTGCGCCCTCAGTAGGAACAAGGTAAGATGAAAGAATGACAGAAACAGAATGAGGGATTTTCAGGCAAGGGGGAAGGAAGGGCAGTTTTGGTGAAAGGACTGTAGCTGACTGGTGGGGGGCTGGCTTTGGAAATACTTTGAGGGGATCCTGAGACTGGACTCTAGACTCTCCCCTGGTTGTTCCCTTCCCCGAGTTCTGGCCGGTTCTTGGACCAGACAAGGCATGGCCCAAGAAGGTAGATCAGAATTTTTTAGCCTTTTTTTCATTAGTGCCTTCCCTAGTATTCTTCCAGATTTTTTTTCTTAATCACATGAAATTTTAATACCACAGATATACTATACATCTGTTTATGTTCTGTATATGTTCTGTGCTTTATACGTAAAAAAGAGTAAGATTTTTTTTCACCTCCCCTTTTAAGAATCAGTTTTAATTCCCTTGAGAATGCTTGTTATAGATTGAAGGCTGGTAAGGGGTTGGGCTCCTCTTTCTTCTTCCTGGTGCCAGAGTGCTCCCACATGAAGGAATAGGAAAGGAAGATGCAAAGAGGGAAATCCTTCGAACACATGAAGACACAGGAAGAGGCCTCTTAGGGCTCCAAGGGCTCCAGGGAAGCAGCTGCAGAGGTTGGGTGGGGTGAGGGGCCAGGATCCACTGACCCTGGGGCCAGGCAGGAATCACTCTGTTGCCTGGGGCTCAGAAGGCAGTATCACCCATGGTTCCTGTCATTGCTCATGTATTTTGCCTTTCAACAATTATTGAGCACCTACTGTGTGCAGGCCCTGCCTGGACACTGGGGATGCGCAGTGGATGCACTGGGCTCTGCCTTTGAGGGTTGCAGTTTAATGGGTGACAGGTAATTATAAGGAAGAAGGTGAGTGCAGAGTGGGAGGCTTGGAGGCTGTGGGGCTTGGGGTGGGGGAGCTCACATCCAGCCTCTGGGCCAAGGCCAGGAGGCTTCCCAGAGGAGGAGACAGAGCAGGGTATTGTGGTGGGGGGTGTCCTTTTTGGGGCTGGGATCTGCACTTTACAGTTTGAGGGGATGGGCAGAGGAGGCTGGGCTTCATTCTGGAGGTGGGGACATGGTGAGGTGAGGTTTAGAAAGCACACCTGAGCCGCAGTGTGTAGGATGCTGGAAATGGTGGAGATGGGCCTGCGAAGAGAGTGCTGGGAAGTGATGACCCAGGAGCAGCAGCCGGGCACCTAACAATGGGTCAGCACCGTGGGCATGGAGACAAGGGCCGGGATTGATCAATACCCGAGAAGTACAATGTACAGGACTTGGGCTCCATTTGGATGGAGTGGGTGAGGGAGGAGTCAGAAATGGCTTCCGGTTTCCAGCTTGGGCCTGGGGATTGGAGATGTCCCCACTGAGAGTAGGGCACAAGTGAGGAAATTGTTTGGAGAGGAAGATGATAAGTTACATCATGGATGTGCTGAGTCTGAGTTGCCTATGGGACTTGGAATGGGGGGTGGCAAAAGGTGTGTGATCTTGAGCAAGATATTCAACTCTTCTGGGCCTTGGTCTTCTCATTTGTAAAACGGTGATAAGAATATTACTTCCCATTTGTGTTGCTGTGAATATTAAATGCGCTACCACATGTAAAATGTTGAGAATCGTTTCTAGCTCAGAGTAAGTGCTCAATAAACACCATTATGCCTTTTATATGGTCTGGAGCTCAGAAGTGGAAGACAGGGTTTTGTGAAGTCATGGCTTTGTGGATGTAGCTAGATTGTGGAGTAATGGCAGGAGGGTCGGGGGCATGGCACAAGGTAGGTGGTCAAGAGACACTGGACACAACCCAAATGTCCATCCACAGGGGAACAGATACATACACTGCTGCGCAATTGCACATAATAGAATCCTCTACAATAGCAAAAATTAAGGCACAACAGACACCTGCAACAACACAGAAAAATTCTGGAGGCATAAAAAGTAATACAGTAGCTGGGTGTGGTGGTTCACACCTGTAATCCCAGCACTTTGGGAGGCCAAGGTGGGTGGATCACGAGGTCAAGAGATCAAGACCATCCTGGCCAACATGGTGAAACCCTGTCTCTACTAAAAATACAAAAATTAGCAGGGTGTTATGGCACACACCTGTAGTCCCAGCTACTCGGGAGGTTGAGGTGCGAGAACTGCTTAAACCTGGGAGGCGGAGGTTGCAGTGAGCCAAGATCACATCACTGCATTCCAGCCTGGCGACAGAGCGAGACTCGGTCTCAAAAAAAAAAAAAAAAAAAAAGCCTGGTGTAGTTGGGCACCTGTAATCCCAGCTGCTCAAAAGGCTGAGGCAGGAGAGAATCCCTTGAACCCGGGAGGCGGAGGTTGCAGTGAATGGAGATTGTGCCACTGCACTCCAGCCTGGGTGACAGAGTGAGACTGCGTCTCAAAAAAAAAAAAAAAAGTAATACGGTAGACTATATACAGTGTGACACAAACTTGTAGCTGAAAAATAAGCAAAAACACATTCTTTGATATATATATATGTATGTAAGAAAACTACTTTAGAAAAAGAAATAATTCCTACAGGCAGATGGGGAAGAACACAGGAGTAGTACAAGCTATTAATAATTTTCTAGTTTTGGAGTTGGACATTTGTGAGTTTATTATATGATTGTGCTTGATAACATATAAATGTGATACATATTGTTTGTATGAGATATATATATATATATATATATATATATATATATATATATATATATACCCACACACAGATAGATGATTGCTGACAAGGAGTTTCTAAAGATCATATATATATTTTTAGGTAAAATAGAATAACATTCTGCTTCTGGTCTTCATAATAAAAGAGAAATCAGGACTAAGAAATCAAGTGTTTATTATATAGAGTTTTAATTTTTATTCTTTTATTTATTGATTTATCTTCTTTAGGCATGTGCAGAGATGAACTCACTAATTGTTCAAAATAAACAATTTGAATTCAAAGCAAAGTATATTTTTGGAATATCAATTATCACTTATTGCAGATAAATGATAATATAAAACACCAACTTTGGAATTTATTTGTTTTACTTCTGTGACTCTCAGCCTTCTTTTTAAAATATAGTGTATGTTTTAGGTAAGTTCAGACAGCAGCCAGCACTACATTTGGTTTAAAATCCAGCTTTATAATGACTTCATCTTTCAACCAGCCAAAGGGTAGTTACCTTGTGTCTGCCATCGTGCATATGCTCTCAGCTCCTGACTGAGAAAACATGCCTGCAAGCACTTCCCTGCCTGAGATTATATTAAAAATCCATACCTGTGCTAGCAGCATGAGTTCAAGTTGATTATTGTTCTAGATCTGTGACTTCCCATTCATCCTCCTAAAGATATAAATGATTGCTTTTCAATAGACCACATACTTAGGAATGATTATGAAGGCAAGGTTTAGTAACAATAATATACATAGTACTCTAATGGGATTGAATTGGAACACCCACATTAAACTCTCTTAAAATATATGGAGCAGAACACATGAGAGAAAGCAAAAGAACAAGTGCACACAGCAGAGCTGCGAGTTGCATACTCTGTGCATGCTAATACCATCGCAACAACATCACTAAGGCTTCTGGGTAACGTTTGCCACATCATATTGTGACGTGCATTTGTTTTTATATTTTACCCTAAAAGGCAAAATAACTCTCCATGTGATGAAAGAAGGAGCACACACAAAAAAAACCCTCTCAGAAATATTAAAATGGTTGCAGGTAATTCAAATGGTATACTGTTTTAAAAGGTACTTGTCTAACACTTTAAGTTGGAAAAGCATCTTGGAAGTCATTAGATTCATATTTACATTACTTGAATTGTGACCCTAGCTTGACATTTCCATGGTGGGAGACATATTTTATTTAGGAGGCAGCAGTCTATTTAGTTTTTGAGAGCTTAATCGATAGATGGTTCAGATTTTCTACTGAACCAAAATCTAAATGCCTACCCATTGGTTTTCGTAGCCAACGTCAATATCCAACTGCTCTTTCATACAACATGGCTTCAAAGGCTATGTAACTAACATCATGCCACTGCACCTATGTCTTTTTAAAGCCAAGTACCTCTAGTGCCCCTCATTATAGCTCATATTTCAAGGTATCTTTCAGCAACAATGAATTGCATTAATCAAACTCACTTTTTTTGCGTGTGCTTCACTTTATAGCTCTTCACAAATAACACATTTTTCACAAATTGAAGGTTTGTGGCAATCTTGCATCAAGCAAGTCTATTCATTCTATTTTTCCAACAACGTGCTCACCTTGTGTCTCTATTTGACATTTTAGTAATTATCACAACATTTCACATTTTAAAATTATTATTATTATTTTAAATATTTTAACTTTTAGGTTCATGGGAACGTGTGGAGGTTTGTTCTTTAGGTAAATTCGTGACTCAGGGGTTTGATGTACAGATTATTTTGTCACCTGAGTAGTAAGCATAGTACCCAACAATTTTTTTTTCCCTGAACCTCACCCATCTCTCATCCTCCTCCCTCAAGCACACCCTAGTGTCTATTGTGCTGCTCTTTCTGTCAATGTGTTCTCATTATTTAGCTCCCAGTGATAAGTGAAAATAGGGAGTATTGGGTTTTCTGATCCTGTGTTACTTTGCTAAGGATAATGGCCTCCAAGCTCCATCCATGTTGCCGCAAAGGACAGATCTCATTCTTTTTTATGGCTGCATAGTAATTCATGGTGTATATGTACCGTACTTTCTTTTTCCAGTCTACCACTGATGGGAATTTAAGTTGATTCCTGGGTATCTATTACCTAAATTACATATAAAAGCAGAAAAGAAAAATGACAAGTAGAACATGAAAGTTAAACAGTATCTTTTCAGGTTCAATGACATAAATATTCTTATTATCTAAAGGTATAAAGTCTAATGTTTTATTTCCTATAGTGCTTTTATAGCAAAACACTTTTCAGAATTAGATAAACCAGATTGAGGCCCCAGTCTTACTACCTATTAGCTAGGTAAACTTGAGCTTTGGGATTTTCAGATTCAGATCTTGCAGGCAAATAAGATTTATTTGATATTACTTGAGGATGACAATGTCTATCTTGCAGATTATTATGGTAATGAGTTTATTTATGTGGATTGTTTTAGGATATTTTAAAACTATGTACAGACCTAAAAAAATCCTCATAATCTTTGCAGAACTGGGAAGGCATACAGGCATAATACAACTGTAAGAGTTACTGTTTCTCATGCTTTTGTTTTCTAACTGCTCTGGCCACTGTTTTAGAAGGAAGGGTGAATATATGTAAATATTCCTGAAAAAATAAAGTTTTAGAATATTAAATTATTACATATTTCATTCAGAATTTTTTGAAAGGTAAAACCAATGATTGAACGTAGTTCATGGGATGATCTGGTCCATATTCATCTACCATGATTTAACAAATTTTTTTTCTCATCTATTGATGAGGAAAAAATTAAGGGGAAATGTAGAAATGTAAGGTAAATGATCTGCAAAGAAATACACACAGGAGGTATGTGGGAATGTAACAGTGTAGGTCCGCAGGCAAACTAGGTGAAGGAGGAAGGTGAGGAAGAAAGGCATTTAAGACTTACTCTTTCTGTTTTCTTCTCAATTTTAAAGCCTGATGGAATATAATTTTCTCTACAGTAAATGTTGAATGAAAATCAGTTTTGTATGTGTTAATAATGACTTCACCAAGAGCATTTGAAGCTCTGTCTATCATATTTTGATGCTCAAAATAAAACATTGTTTTTATAGCTTAATAGTCTCATACAGTCAATTATTGCCTCCCCTCCAGACTGACACTTTGAACATTATTATTAACACTGCTGTCCTTAAACCATCATCGGCCTGCAGTGCAGACAATTTATTGATAGCTAATAAAACAGTGTTCAGATGCTGCCTGAGGGCAGGATTCAGAATTGTCATACCTATGCATAACCACATTTGATCTTTTGGAACAAGTTCCATTACTTAAAAATTATGGTTTCATTTTCTTATTTTTATATCTAGATTTTAACATTATATGCATGCCTATATAAGCATTAAATATGTTATTCAGTTATGTGTGAGTGTAACTCAAATTTCTTGTAAAGTGTATGTACAGTTTAATATAAGACAGATTATTGATTAGGAAATAGTTAACAATTAATAATAGACATTGGCCAACCTCAATTACTAAACCAGAAAATAAGTTTATTTATTTATTGTATTATTTTTTTATTATACTTTAAGTTTTAGAGTACATGTGCACAATGTGCAGTTTATTTAAATGTATTGACTGTTTTTTAGTCACTACACAAATCATCTAAAAGAAAATACCACAGATGAAACCTGCAGATCCACTAACTAGTTATCAGTTTATCAAGACTGATCGTGTCCACTCCCTTCAGAAATCACATGGATTTGTGCATTATGCAGATCTTTTTTGGTCTTCCCCATCTTTTCCCATCCTGAACTAGAAGTAGAAGCCTATTGCATTTTTATCTGGTACTTTCTTTTGCATTTAGTAGAAATACATACACATACTACCCTAGGCTACTCCGCAGTACATTAAAATTTCCTTTTGCTTTCCAGTAATTTCAAATATCTCAACTAAATATCTCAGTTGAAAAATCAAAGTTTTAATTCTTATCCATCTTTCAACATAAAAACTTTTAATATTGATTATAATGTGTTGCCTGCACTTTTGTTTTTTTTTTGTTTTGTTTTGAGACGGAGTTTCACTGTGTTGCCCAGGCTGGAATGCAGTGGCTAGATCTCAGCTCATTGAAATGTCCCGAGTTTAAGCAATTCTCCTGCCTTAGCCTCCTCAGTAGCTGGGATTACAGGCAAGCACCACCATGCCCTGCTAATTTTTGTATTTTTAGTAGAGATGGGGTTTCACCATGTTGGCCAGGCTGGTCTCAAACTCCTGACCTCAGGTGATCCTCCCGTCTCGGGCTTCCAAAGTGCTGGGGTTACAGGCGTGAGCCACCCTGTCTGGCCCAGCACTCTTAATAGATATATAAATCTTACTCTATTAATTGAACTAAGAACATCTTTATAATTTTCCAAATATCATTTATAATTATTAAATATTAAAACACATTTATTCTGCTTAGCAAACTTTGCATCTCCTCAGAATGCCTAAATATTTTGCCATATGAAGGTTCCAGTGGAAGTTTCAGACAATACATTTTGATGGCAAATGGTGAATTTTCCTATTGAGAAATATGTTGATTACAAGAAATAAGAGAGACAGTAGATTTTCAAAACCTTTTCAAACTATTTCAGATGAATATTCAGAATTATTTTACTTATAGATTGCACTCTTCTAAGGCACTTACATATTCTGACAACTATGTGTTTTTGAAGCAAATTTTGACTGAATTAATAAATGACAGCACAGATCAAAATTTAAAAACTTACAAAATTCTCAATAGATTTCACAATTGTGCAAAGTCCCATGCTTTCTTTTAATATTGTATACTTACTATACTTTTAAGGGGTACTTTTTAACAGTTGATTTATTATCAAATAAACTTTCTATAATTTGACAGAACAACATAAATTCTTGTTTTTCTCCTTTCTACCTAGAACATACATATGATAGTTGAGAAAGACACATATTCTGATCATGAAGAAATAAACACAAGTTAAATATGACTAAGCAGAAAGATGGAAGGACCAGGAACGGTGATGCTAACTTGGAACCACGATGCAGGCTCTAAACTCCTCTACAATCATCCCCCCTTGTGAGAAAAATACGTAAGTCACTTTTAAAATAAATAGAAACCTGAACACACTTCTTAGCTGGTTTAAGTATTTTAAAAACATTGATGAATTAAACACAGAAATATGGGGAAATCTCATTACTTACCTTAAATTTTGAAATTTTCTTTACAGATCATGAGTTACTTAATGCTCTTTCACTCCTGAGTTTACATTGTAAATTAAAGTTATGTCAGCTTTAAAAAATAACCAATTAAAAATAATGATCTAAATTTATACTTTAATTTTAACGAATAGTATTATCTCTTATTATTTACCTCTGATAAAGTCCAAATGTTTGTAGGCCTATAGCTCTGGTTATATACAATGAAATATCTTTCTCATGAGTGTAGAATATCTAGATTATATTTAATGCATTTACTTTTTGAGGAAAAGGAAACCCTTAATAAAATAGCTTCAAATATTTGGTTTTAAAAAATGAGAAAACAAATACATTACAGGACTTTTGGATTTATCACCAACATGTGAAGGGCTCAGAAGTTGTCATTCCTGGCCTTACAATAATAATAATAATAAAAGCTATACAAATTGAAAATCAATGACATTTCCACAGTGGGAGACATATTTTATTTAGGAGACAGCAGTCTATTTAGTTTTTGAGAGCTTAATCGATAGATAGTTCAGGTTTTCTAGTGAACCAAAATCTAAATGCCTACCCATTGGTTTTGGTAGCCAACGTCAATATCCAACTGCTCTTTCACACAACATGACTTCAAAGGCTATGTAACTAACATCATGTCACTGCACCTATGTCTTTTTAAAGCCAAGTACCTCTAGTGCCCCTCATTATAGCTCATATTTCAAGGTTTTCTGTTCCTGCATTAGTTTGCTGAGGATAATGGCTTTCAGCTCCATCCATGTCCCTGCAAAGGACTTGATCTCATTTCCTTTTATGGCTGCATAGTATTCCATGTTGTATATGTACCACATTTTATTTACCCAGTCTATCATTGATGGGCATTTGGGTTGATTTCATGTATTAGCTATTGTGAATAGTGCTGCAATGAACACACACATGCATGTATCTTTATAATAAAATGATTTATATTCCTTTGGGTACATACCTAGTAATGGGGTTGCTGGGTCAAATGGTATTTCTGGTTCTAGGACTTCGAGGAATTGCCACAGTCTTCCACAATAGTTGAACTAATTTACATTCCTACCAACAGTGTAAAAGCATTCCTATTTCTCTGCAGCCTCAACAGTATCAGTTGTTTCTTGACTTTTTAATAATCACCATTCTGACTAGTGTGAGATGGTATCTCATTGTGGTTTTGATTTGCATTTCTCTAATGATTAGTGATGTTGAACTTTTTTTTTGCATGTTTGTTGACCACATAAATGTCTTCTTTTGAGAAGTGCCTGTTCATGTCCTTTGCCCACTGTTTAATAGGATTGTCTGTTTTTTTCTTGTAAATTTGTTTAAGTTCCCTGTAAATTCTGGATATTAGACCTTTGTCGGATGGATAAATAGCAAATTTTTCTCCCATTCTGTAGGTTGTCTGTTCACTGTGATGATAGTTTCTTTTGCTGAGCAGAAGCTCTTTAGTTTAATTAGACCCCATTTGTTAATTTCTGCTTTTGTTGCTATTGTTTTTGGCATTTTTGTCATGAAATCTTTGCCTATGCCTATGTCCTGAATGGTATTGCCTAGATTTTCTTCTAGGGTTTTTATAGTTTTGGATTTTACACTTAAGTCTTTAACCTATCTTGAGCTAATTTTTGTATAACGTGTAAGGAAGGGGGTCCAGTTTCAATTTTCTGCATATGGCTAAAGTTCTTCCATAGTTCTTCCAGCACCATTAATTAAATAGAAAATCCTTTCCCCATTACTTGTGTTTGTCAGGTTTGTTGAAGATCAGATGGTTGTAGCTGTGTGGTCTTATTTCTGAGTTCTCAATTCTGTTCTATTGGTCTATGAGTCTGTTTTTGCACCACCACTATGCTGTTTTGTTTACATGCTGGTTTGGTAGCCTTGTAGTGTAGTTTGAAGTAAGGTAGCATGATCCCCCCAGCTTTGCTATTTTTGCTTAATATTATCTTGGCTCTACAGACTCTTTTTTGTCCATATGAATTTTAAAACAGATTATTCTAATTCTGTGAAAAATGTCAATGTTAGTATAAGGGGAATAGCATTGAATCTATAAATTACTTTGGGTAGTATGGCCATTTTAATCATATTGGTTCTTTCTATCACTTCCCTTCTTAGCTGTATTCCTAGGTATTTTATTCTCTGTAACAATTGTGGAATTGGAGTTCTTTCATGATTTGGCTCTCTGCTTGTCTGTTGTTAGTGTGCAGGAATCCTTGTGATTTTCACACATTGATTTTTTATCCTGAGATTTTGCTGACAATGGGGTTGAGACAATGGGGTTTTCTAGATAAAGGATCATGTCATCTGCAGAGACAATTTGGCTTCCTCTCTTCCTATTTGAATACCATTTGTTTCTTTCTCTTGCTTAATTGTTCTTGCCAGAACTTCCAATAATATGTTGAATAGGAGTGGTAAGAAAGAGCATCCTTGTCATGTGCCTCTTTTCAATGAAAATGCTCACAGCTTTTTCCCATTCAGTATGATATGGGTTGTTAGTTTGTCATAAATGGCTCTTAATATTTTGAGGTATGGTCCTTCAATACCTAGTTTATTGAGAGTTTTTAAAATGAAGGGATGTTGAATTTTAACATGAAGTGTTGTTGAAAGGCCTTTTCTGCATCTATTGAGATAATTATGAGGTTTTTATCTTTAGTTCTGTTTATGTAATGGATTACATTTATTGATTTGCATATGTTGAAACAGCCTTGTATCCCGGGGATGAAGCCAACTTGATTGTGGTGGATAAGCTTTTGGATGTGCTGCTGGATTTGGCTTGCCAGTATTTTATTGAGGATTTTTGCATCGATGTTCATCAGGGATATTGGCCTGAAGTTGTCTTGTTTTGTTGTATCTCTCCCAGGCTTTGGTATCAGGATGATGCTGGCCTCATAACATGAATTAGGGAGGAGTCTCTCCTCTTCAATCATTTGGAATAGTTTCAGAAGAAATAGCACTGGCTCCTCTTTGTACATCTGGTAGAATTCCACCATAATTCCATCTGGTCCTGGTCTTTCATTGGTTGGTAGGCTATATATTACTGCCTTAATTTCAGAACTTGTTATTGGTCTATTCAGGGATTCAACTTCTTCCTGGTTCAATCTTGGGAGTTTATGTGTCCAGGAATTTATCCATTTCTTCTAGATTTTCTAATTTATTTGCATAGAGGTTTTTATAGTATTCTCTGATGGTTGTTTGTATTTCTGTAAACTCAGTGTTCATATCCCCTTTATCATTTTTTATTGTGTCTATTTGATCTTCTCTCTTTTCTTATTAGTGTAGCTAAAAGTCTATTTTGTTAATTTTTTTCAAAAAAACAGTTCCTGGATTTGTTGATTTTTTGAAGGGTTTTTCCTGTCTCAATCTCCTTTAGTTTTGCTCTGATCTTACTTATTTCTTGCCTTCTGCTAGCTTTGGGGTTTGTTTGTTCTTGGTTCTCTAGTTCTTTAAACTGTGATGTTAGGATGTTGACTTGAGATATTTCTGATGTGGATATTTAGTGCTATACATTTCCTCAATGCTGTTTTAGCTGTATCCCAGAGATTCTGGGACATTGTCTCTTTGTTCTCATTAGTTTCAAATAACTTCTTGACTTCTGCCTTAATTTCATTTTTTACCCAGTAGTCATTCAGAAGCAGGATGTTACATTTCTATGTAGTTGTGTGGTTTTGAGTGAGTTTCTTAATTTTGAGTTCTAATTTGATTGTACTGTGGTCTGAGAGACTATCAAGATTTTAGTTATTTTGCATTTGCAGAGGAGTGTTTTACTTCCAATTATGTGATCGATTTTAGAGTAAGTGCCATGTAGCTCCAAGATGAATGTATATTCTGTTGTTTTTGAATGGAGAGTTCTGTAGATACTTATCAGGTCCACTTGATCTACAGCTGTTTGAGTCCTGAATATCCTTGTTAACTTTCTGTCTTGATAATTTGTCTAATATTGACAGTGGGGTGTTAAAGTCTCCCACTATTATTATGTGAGAGTCTAAATGTCTTTGTAGGTCTCTAGGAACTTGTTTTATGAATCTGGGTCCTCTAGAATTGGGTGCATGTGTATTTAGGATAGTTACCTCTTCTTGATGAACTGAATACTTAACCATTATGTAATTCCCTTCTTTGTCTTTTTTTATCTTTGTTGATTTAAAGCCTGTTTTCTCAAACACTAGAATTGCAACCCCTCCTTTTCCTGCTTTCCGTTTGCTTGGTAAATTTTCCTCCATCTCTTTATTTTGAGCCTATGTGTGTCTTTGCATATGAGATGGTTCACCTGAATACAGCACACTGGTGGGTCTTGACTATCCAGTTTGCCAGTCTTTGTCTTTTAATTGGGACATTCAGTCCATTTACATTTAAGGTTAATATTCTTATGTGTGAATTTGGTCCTGTGATTATGATGCTATCTGGTTATTTTGCAGACTTGTTAATGTTGTTGCTTCATAATATTATTGGTCTGTGTACTTTACTGTGTTTTTGTAGTGGCCGGTAATGGTTTTTCCCTTCCATATTCAGTGCTTCCTTTAGGAGCTCTTGCAAGGCAGTCTTGGTTGTGATGAATTCCCTCAGTATTTGCTTGTCTGAGAAGGATTTTATTTCTTCTTTGCTCATGAAGCTTAGTTTGGCCAGATATGAAATTCTGAGCTGGAAATTCTTTTCTTTAAGACTGTTGACATGAAGTCCTTGCCCATGCCTATGTCCTGAATGGTAATGCCTAGGTTTTCTTCTAGGGTTTTTATGGTTTTAGGTCTAACGTTTAACTCTTTAATCCATCTTGAATTGATTTTTGTATAAGGTGTAAGGAAGGGATCCAGTTTCAGCTTTCTACATATGGCTAGCCAGTTTTCCCAGCACCATTTATTAAATAGGGAATCCTTTCCCCATTGCTTGTTTTTCTCAGGTTTGTCAAAGATCAGATAGTTGTAGATATGTGGCGTTATTTCTGAGGGCTCTGTTCTGTTCCATTGATCTATATATCTGTTTTGGTACCAGTACCATGCTGTTTTGGTTACTGTAGCCTTCTAGTATAGTTTGAAGTCAGGTAGCGTGATGCCTCCAGCTTTGTTCTTTTGGCTTAGGATTGACTTGGCGATGCGGGCTCTTTTTTGGTTCCATATGAACTTTAAAGTAGTTTTTTCCAATTCTGTGAAGAAAGTCATTGGTAGCTTGATGGGGATGGCATTGAATCTGTAAATTACCTTGGGCAGTATGGCCATTTTCACGAGACTGATTCTTCCTACCCATCAGCATGGAATGTTCTTCCATTTGTTTGTATCCTCTTTTATTTCTTTGAGCAGTAGTTTGTAGTTCTCCTTGAAGAGGTCCTTCACATCCCTTGTAAGTTGGATTCCTAGGTATTTTATTCTCTTTGAAGCAGTTGTGAATGGGAGTTCACTCATGATTTGGCTCTCTGTTTGTCTCTTTTTGGTGTATAAGAATGCTTGTGATTTTTGTACATTGATTTTGTATCCTGAGACTTTGCTGAAGTTGCTCATCAGCTTAAGGAGATTTTGGGCTGAGACAATGGGGTTTTCTAGATATACAATCATGTCGTCTGCAAACAGAGACAATTTGACTTCCTCTTTTCCTAATTGAATACCCTTTATTTCCTTCTCCTGCCTAATTGCCCTGGCCAGAACTTCCAAAACTATGTTGAATAGGAGTGGTGAGAGAGGGCATCCCTGTCTTGTGCCAGTTTTCAAAGGGAATGCTTCCAGTTTTTGCCCATTCAGTATGATATTGGCTGTGGGTTTGTCATAGATAGCTCTTATTATTTTGAAATACATCTCATCAATACCTAATTTATTGAAAGTTTTTAGCATGAAGGGTTGTTGAATTTTGTCAAAGGCTTTTTCTGCATCTATTGAGATAATCATGTGGTTTTTGTCTTTGGCTCTGTTTATATGCTGGATTACATTTATTGATTTGCATATATTGAACCAGCCTTGCATCCCAGGGATGAAGCCCACTTGATCATGGTGGATAAGCTTTTTGATGTGCTGCTGGATTCGTTTTGCCAGTATTTTATTGAGGATTTTTGCATCAATGTTCATCAAGGATATTGGTCTAAAATTCTCTTTTTTTGTTGTGTCTCTGCCTGGCTTTGGTATCAGAATGATGCTGGCCTCATAAAATGAGTTAAAGCAATGGCAACAAAAGCCAAAATTGACAAATGGGATCTAATTAAACTAAAGAGCTTCTGCACAGCAAAAGAAACTACCATCAGAGTGAACAGGCAACCTACAAAATGGGAGAAAATTTTCGCAACCTACTCATCTGACAAAGGGCTAATATCCAGAATCTACAATGAACTCAAACAAATTTACAAGAAAAAAACAAACAACCCCATCAAAAAGTGGGCGGAGGACATGAACAGACACTTCTCAAAAGAAGACATTTATGCAGCCAAAAAACACATGAAAAAATGCTCATCATCACTGGCCATCAGAGAAATGCAAATCAAAACCACAATGAGATACCATCTCACACCAGTTAGAATGGCAATCATTAAAAAGTCAGGAAACAACAGGTGCTGGAGAGGATGTGGAGAAATAGGAACACTTTTACACTGTTGGTGGGACTGTAAACTAGTTCAACCATTGTGGAAGTCAGTGTGGCGATTCCTCAGGGATCTAGAAGTGGAAATACCATTTGACCCAGCCATTCCATTACTGGGTATATACCCAAAGGACTATAAATCATGCTGCTATAAAGACACATGCACACGTATGTTTATTGCGGCATTATTCACAATAGCAAAGACTTGGAACCAACTCAAATGTCCAACAATGATAGACTGGATTCAGAAAATGTGGCACATATACATCATGGAATACTATGCAGCCATAAAAAATGATGAGTTCATGTCCTTTGTAGGGACATGGATGAAATTGGAAATCATCATTCTCAGTAAACTATCGCAAGAACAAACAACCAAACACTGCATATTCTCACTCATAGGTGGGAATTGAACAATGAGATCACATGGACACAGGAAGGGCAATATCACACTCTGGGGACTGTTGTGGGGTGGGGGGAGGGGGGAGGGATAGCATTGGGAGATATACCTAATGCTAGATGATGAGTTAGTGGGTGCAGCGCACCAGCATGGCACATGTATACATATGTAACTAACCTGAACAATGTGCACATGTACCCTAAAACTTAAAGTATAAAAAAAAAAGACTGTTGAATATTAGCCCCCAATTTCTTCTGGCTTATGGGGTTTCTGCTGAGGAGTCCACTGTTATTCTGATGGACTTCCTTTTCTAGGTGACGTGGCTCTTAACAATTTTCCTTCATTTTGACCTTGGAGATACTGACAATTATGTGTTTTGGGTTGATCTTCTCATGGATCTTACTGAAGTCCTCTGAATTTCCTGAATTTGAATGTTGGCCTGTCTTGCTGGGTTGGGGAAATTCTCCTGAATGATTTCCTGAAGTATGTTTTCCAACTTGGTTTCATTCTCCTCATTTCTTTCAGGTACCCCAATCAGTTGTAGGTTTGGTCTTTTTACATAATTCCATAGTTCTCTGATTATTTTTCATTCCTTTTCAGTTTTTTCTCTAATCTTATCTGCCTGTCTTATTCCAGCAAGATAGTCTTTGAGCTCTGAGATTCTTTCCTCTGCTTGGTCTATTCAGTTATTTATGCTTGTGGTTGCATTGTGAAGTTCTGGTGTTGTGTTTTTCAGGTCCATCAGGTCATTTATGTTCCTCTATAAACTGGTTATTCTGGTTTACAGTTCCTATAATGTTTTCATGGTTATTAGCGTCTTTGAATTGTTTTAGAATATACTTTAGCTCAGCAAAATTTGTTATTACCCACCTTCTGAAGAATACTTCTGTCAGTTCATCCACCTCAAGCCTCCACCCAGTTCTGTGCCCTTGCTGGAGAGGTGTTGCAATCATTTGGAGGAGAAGAGGCATTCTGGCTTTTTGAGTTTTCAGCATTTTTGCATTGATTCTTTCTCATCTTCATGAGCTTATCTATCTTCGATCTTTGAGGCTGCTGATCTTTGGAAGGGGTTTTTGTGGGGCCATTTTTGTGGATGTTTTTGTTGTTGTTGTTTTCTGTTTGTTTGTTTTTCTTTCAACAGTCAGACCCCTCTTCCTTAGGGCTGCCGCAGTTTGCTGGGGGTCCACTCCAGACCCTATTCACTTGGTCCCTCCCCTACCTGGAGGTGTCACCAGTGGAAGCTGCAGAACAGCAAGGATGGCTGCCTGCTCCTTCTTTTTTGAGCTCCATCCCAGAGGGGCACTGATGTGATGCCAGCAGGAACACTCCTGTATAAGGTGCCTGGAGACCCCTGTTGGTGGTCTCAATCAGTTAGGGAGTATGTACAGGATCGGGGACCACTTAACAAAGCACTCTGGCTGCCCCTTGGCAGAGAGGGTGCACTGCACTGGAGGGAATCTCCCTTGTCCAGAATGTCCAGACCCTTCAGAGCCAGCAGGCAGGAAAGACTAAGTCTGCTGAACCGCAGAGACTGTGGCTGTCCCTCCCCACAGGAGTTCTGCCCAGGAAGATCAGAGTTCTGTCCATAAACCTCTGGCTGGAGTTGGTGAAATTCCCACAAGGGGGCCCCACCCAATGAGTAGGGATGGATCCAGGTTCCACCTAAAAAAGCAGTCTGGCCATGATCTGCCACAGCTGCTGTGCTCCCGGTCTAAACCTCCCTGTCTCCCCAGCACCACCAGGGGAAAACAGCCAACTGATGCCACAGTGATAGCAACCACCCCTTCCCCTGGGAACTCAGTCATCTTAGACAGTCTCCAGTCTGCTGTCACTGGCCACAGCCTGAGCGGTGATGAGAGTCTGCACAGCTCTGTGCTTGGCACCCAAGGCCCTGGTGGTGTGGACTCACAAGGGGATCTCTTGATCTGTGAGTTGCACAGATCCATGGAAAAAGCATGGTTCCTCAGGAAAGGGAGCACAATCACTCACTGCCTCCCTTGACTGGGGGTGGGAGTGCCCCTTGCCCCATGCAGCTCCCAAGTGAGGCATTGCTCCACCCTGCTTTTCCTTGCTCCCTGTGGGTCAGGCCAATCACCTTGTCACTCCCAGTGAGAGAATCTGGATACCTCAGATGAAGGTGCAGAATTCACTCGCCATTTTTGTTCTTCTAGATGGGAGTCACAGACCACAGCTGCTTCTAATTGGCCATCTTGGCACCTCCTCATTTAACCTTCTTTTCTCATCTAAAGGGGATAAAGGATGAAACTGTCCCAAAGAAAAGTTTATAAACCAATTAAGGGAGAAAATAAAATTCAACTAGGCTTGCAGAATAATCAGTGGCAATCATGAAATCCACTTCCCAATTTGGCCTACTTCCTTGTAGCTAGTTACTTCTTACTCCCCCAAGATAGTGTAGCCCTTGTCACAAGAATGTGTTCCTTTTCTTTTCTATAGATAAGATCTAAGGCACATGAGATGATATGCTTTCTGTTTGAGTTTCTCCTTTATGTTACGCATACTGATAAAATTGTTGATGCCAGTTGATCTGAAGGTCCCAGCAAGGAGCCGACTCACAGAAGAATGCAGTTTTCACATCATGATGATTTAATCTTCCTTGACCTGAGCAATTGACAACCCCAATTCTCCAGAACCTCACCCGCCACAATCCCCTTAAAAACCCTGGCCCAGAACCCCTCAAGCAGACAGATGTGAAGCTTGAGGATTCCTTCATCTCTTTGCCCAATGGCATTGTGATTATTAAACTCTTTTTCTGCTGCAAATTATGATGTCTCAGTGTATTGGTCTATTGCTGCTCAGTGGGCATATGAATCTGGCAGTCCTGTAATAGGGACAAAAGATAAACTACTGGCAAAACACTCGTAAAAGTCATAACCTAAGACATAGGCCCACTGAAAGGCGGATATTCAATCAGAGCACTGTAGAACATATTTCTCTGCTCATACCATAAAATTTAAACCAACATGACTCCAATATAAGGAGACAGACAAAAGAGCTATAAGAAACAGACACTGTTTGAAGATGAGTACTTAAGGAAACCTAAAGTTAAGGGAGGAGACAAAAACAAGGACACTAGAGGAATTTGAAACCTTCAGAAACTTGAGCTATAACAAATATTAAATGCAGTTCAACTCCAAGACAGATTAACATATATCCTCAATTAACTTTATCTCAGTATCAATTTATCTCAGCATCAATTTATCTCAATATCTATTATGGATACCACATGTCTAGCTCTCAACAATGGCAACAAAATTACAAAACATGGTAAAAGGCAAGAAAAAAATTAACAATCTGAAGAGACAGGATGATCATCAGAACAAGACTCAGTGATGATGATGCATATTTTGGAAATAGCAATCAAGAAATTTACATAACTATGATTAAGATGTTAAGGACACTAGTGGAAAATGTAGAAAATATTCAATAAAAGATGATTAGTATAAGCAGAGAGATGAAAATTCTAACAAAGAACCAAAATAAAAGGCTAGAAATTAAAATAACGCCAATAGATTTTTTTAAAATGCTTTCAATGGTTTCATTAGTAGACCAGACATGTTTGGGGAAAGAATTGGTGAAACTAAAGATAGGTCAAAAATACATTTTAAAACAAAGTGCCAAGAAAAAATAAACGGAAAAAAAAAGTGAAGGACATCAAAGACCCGCTGGGCAGTTTCTAAAGTTGTACAAAATGGGAAACTGGAATAGCAGAAAGACAAGAAAGAGAGAAATGAGGAGAATCTATCTAAATGAGTAATGGTCAAGAAATTTTAAAACATAATGACATGAAACAAACAACCGGTCCGGGAAGCTCAGAGAATACAATTCATGACAAACAACAAAAATACAGCACCAGACATAGCATTTCCTATATGTAGAATAAAATAAAATAAAATAAATCAATAAATAGACAAAGAGAAAATCTTGACAGAATCTGGAATGAAAACTACATTCCTTGTAGAGAAAAAAGAGCAAGGATTTCAGCCCACTTCCAGTAAGAAACCAGGCAAGAAAGAAGAGAGTTGCGGGAAATGTTTAGGAATAAATGCACCAACTTAGAATTCTACATCTAGCAAAATTATACTTCAAAAGCAGAGGGGAAATCAGAATTTACCAGACAATAAAACACTAACGGAATATATTGCCAGAAAACTTTCCTGCAAATGTGTTAAAAGAGGTTATTCATGGAGGAGAAGAGTGATATAGATCAGAAACCTGTATTTACAATAAGAAAGCAAGTATGTTGAAAAAGGAAAAAAAATTTTTTATTTTTCTTATTGTAAATCTTTTTAAACTACATGTTTGTTTAAAGTAATATTAGTAAATGTTTTGGGCAATTACAGCATGTGGGTAAGTGAAATGCCTGATGGTTATGTTACAAAAGATATGAAGGATGAACTGGGACTATTCTATTAACGTGTCCAGAATTGGTGGGTTCTTGGTCTCACTGACTTCAAGAATGAAGCTGCAGACCCTAGTGGTGAGTGTTACAGTTCTTAAAGATGGTGTGTCCGGAATTTGTTCTGACGTTCAGACGTGTTCGGAGTTTCTTCCTTCTGGTGGGTTTGTGGTCTTGCTGGCTTCAGGAGTGAAGCTGCAGACCTTCGCGGTGAGTGTTACAGCTCTTAAGGCAGCACGTCTGGAGTTATTCATTCCTCTCAGTGGGTTCCTGGTCTCACCGGCCTCAGGAGTGAAGCTGCAGACCTTCCCGGTGGTTGTCACAGCTCATAAAGGCAGTGTGGACCCAAAGAGTGTGCAGCAAGATTTACTGCAAACAGCAAAAACACAAACCCTCCACACCACGGAAACGGACCCAAGCCGGTTATCACTGTCCCTTGTGGCAGCCTGCTTTTATTCCCTCACCTGACCCCACCCACATCCTGCTGATTGGTCCATTTTGCAGAGAGCTGATTGGCCTGTTTTGACAGGGTGCTGATTGGTGCATTTACAAACCTTGAGCTAGACACAGAGTGCTGATTGGCGCATATACAATCCTCCAGCTAGACACAAAAGTTCTCCAAGACCCCACCTCACTGGGGAGCCCAGCTGGCTTGCCTAGCAGATCCTGCGCTGGGGCCGCTGGGGGAGCTGCCCGCCAGTCCCACGCCAGGTGCCTGCACTAGTCAGCCCTTGGGTGGTTGATGGGACCAGGCGCCACGAAGCAGGGGGCAGTGCCGTTGGGGAGACTCCCGCTGGCCGCTGGGAGCCCACGGGGGAAGGCGCGGGCGGGGAAAGGCTCGGGCATGGCGGGCTGCAGGTCCCGGGCCCTGCCCCACAGCGAGGCGGCTGAGGCCTGGCAAGAATTCGAGCCTAGAGCGGGCGGGCTGGCAGTGATGCGGAACTCAGCGCATACTCCGCAGCGGCTGGCCCTGGGTGCTAAGCCCCTCACTGCCCAGGGCCTGTGGCACCAGTCTGACCGCTCTGAGTGCAGGGCCGCCCCCGCGTGTGCCGCGCGCAGCCTCAGTTCCCGCCTGTGCCTCTCCCTCCACACCTCCCCGCAAGCAGAGGGAGCATGCTCCGGCCTTGGCCAGCCCACAGACGGGCTCCCACAGTGCAGCGGTGGGGCGAAGGGCTCCTCAAGCGCGGCCAGGGTGGACGTCCAGGCCGAGGAGACACGGAGAGCGAGCAAGGGCTGCCAGCACGCTGTAACTTCTTATTAAGGTACCTGCACTATATGTGAACTGGTGGAGTGCTATTTGAAGGTGATCTTAGATTAGTAACAAATGTGTATTGGATACTCTGGGGAACCACTAGAATAGTTGAAAAAGAAAGCATGCTTTACATGTAATGAGTGACATTAGGTTTGATAATGGATTTTTAGATATAATATTAATACGAAAAGTTCTAGCTACAAAAGAAAAAATGATGTTAGAGTTTGTTAAATTTAAAATGGAATTTTCTGCTCTGTGAAAGACTCCAGAGAGTTAAAAGACAAGCCACAAACTAGAAGAAAATATCTGTAAACCATATATCTAATAAAGTATTGGTATCTAAACATACAAATAACTCTGAAAACTGAATAATAAGAAAGCAAACAAGCCAATTACAAATGTGCATAGAATCTGAAAAGACACCTCACCCCTGCCCCCGAAATACCCATGGCAACTGGCATATAAAAATATGCTCAGTATTTTTTTTCTTTAGAGAAACACAAATTAAAACAATTGTGATACTACCACACATTAGTTAAAATGGCTTAAATCCATGAACCGAAGTATTACAAATTCTGGTGAAAATGTAGAGCAATAGTAGCTGTTTGCTGAAGGGAATTTTAAAAATGGTACTGCACGCTGGAAGACAGATTGGCAGTTTCTTACAAATCTAAATATCGTCTCACCACGTACTTCAGCTATCATTCTTCTAAGTATTTATCCCAATGATGTGACAATTTATATCACATAAAAATGTGAGTGTTTATCAGAGTTCTTTTTTATAATTATCAAAAATGGACAGCAACCTACATGGCCTTAAACCTTAAGTAAGTGAATTGATATACTGGTACATCCAGAAAAAAGAAATAAATATAAATCTACAGGAATAAATACATGAATATTCAATATTTATTGCTCTGTGAAAGAAATTGGTCAGCAAATGCCTCGTATTATATATTGCTAAATATATGACATGGTAAAAAAGGCAAAACAATATAGTATAAAAGATTAGTGCTTCCAGAGGTGAGAGGAGAGGAAGTAGGGTTAAATATGTGAAACATGAAAACAAATTTTTTACTGTACTGAAACTATTTTATATGATATTGTAATGGTGGACATAACATTATGCATTTCTCAAAATCCATAAGAGTTTTTGAGCTTGAGGAGGAAACATTAATTTATATAATTTTAAAAAAAACTATCCTTTAGGAAGTAGAGGGATTGCAAGATGGAATGCAGAGTGTGACAAAATATTATAACTGTATTGAAAATATATGAAACAACCTCACTGAGATGGGTGGGAAAAAATGCGTTGAAATAAGTAATTTCAGAAATGAGAGGAGACTGTAAAATTAAAGGTGAAAGGAAGTGTATACAAGCACAGTGCTCCAGTTAATAAAGTTGTTTCTCATGGAAGTATGATGTAACGTTTCTGACATCACCGTATATGTACACTGTGAATGAACAATTAAGAAAGTGAGTGATGAATGGTGGCCGGGAACAAGTAGAGGGTTATTCTTGATATTCTCCTCAAATTTCTTTAATTAATTAGTAAATGAATTAGCAAGTCCCTAATGGCCTTTAGAGTCTGCTGAAGGAGATGAATAAACAGCTGACTATTAATATAGCATAATATAATATAGTGTTTAATATAAACAAAGGGCTATGTGAGTGTGGACCAAGAGACTATTATTTTCACCTTTTATCTAAAACCTTGAAAAAGTTGGCACTTCTACCTTACCTTAGATAGTAAGCAAGAGTTAGATAAGTTGAAATGACACATTTTTCATGCAGAAAATATTACACACGAAGACATGGAGGTTCAAAATTTCCAGGTTATAGGGAAATTGCAGGATGCTGAAAAATGCAGGTTGCTGAAAGGAATGCAGTATGATGCAAGATATTTGATGTTGGGCAAAAATAATTTTAACTTCTATTATACAGTCTGTAGAGAATGGGCAACATTGAGGGGTAACAGAAGCCTTTGTTACTCCATCTTTGAAAAATAAATAATAATAATTATCCCATTTAGATATTAAAGATTAAATAGGTTAGTGAATTCAAAGTATGCCATATAAATTCTGGCAAATAATATGTTCAAAATAAATTGTAACTTTGATTATTAAAACATATGTATACACACACGTACATATATATGTATGTGTATATGTATGTGTATGTGTGTGTGTATAACAGAATTAATTGTATATCATAGTTGAAGTAAAAGAATGGGAAGAAAAAATACTTTAATGGGCCTCCAAATAGGACAAGACTATATACATATAGTCTTGCATATATATATATATATATATACACACACATCTAAATAAAATGTATCAATACACACACACACACATATTCTCAGTACATGGGGATAATCAGAAAGATGGCTACAAAAATACAACCCTCTTAGTTTTATATAACCCTTTATAAATATATAAAACTAAGAGTAGAAAGAATGCCTTCTGAAGCACTGTAAACTAACCTAAGCGGGGTAAAGTCAGAGGATTTTACTATGTTGGAACTGAATTTATTAACATAGTTATAGAAAGAGTCTGTCAATGAAAGGAGAATTAGTTGCCTATGGAAACTGAGCTACAGATGAATCTTTAAGGCATAAATCTCTTTTCCACCTAAGTGGAAGTCCAATTCCTGAGGCAGGAAGTCTGGGCAAGTGAAATTGCCAGTTAAGTTGGTAAGCCTTCCTACAATAAAAATAAATGCATGTGCACATTTATATTAGCTTGATGGTGTTAAATATTCTAATCATTGAACTTTATTTTTCTGATCTAATACATACCCAGCTATCATGTGACTACATTTTGTTTTCCCATACAGATGTGCGTTTGGGTGGAAAGTATGTACTGTTTATGCTGAAGTAAGAATTTTATTTTATATAACATAGTTCTTGTTATAAATTAATAAACTAACATTCTGATTGTTTATAGTCATTGTGTGTTGAATCGAGTCTCCAAAATGAAATACTAATCCCAATACTTGTGAATGTGACCTTATTTGGAAATAGGTTATTGCAGATGTTATTTTGAAACAGGGTCATATTGAAATGGGATGGGCCCTAATTCAATGACTGGTTTCTTTATAAAGAAAGAAAATATGGACACAGAGAGACATAAAGAAATATAAGGAAGAAGGCCATGTAATGACAGAGGCAGACAGTGGGGTGATGCATGCACAAGTCAAGGAACACCAAAAATTGCTGGCAACCACCAGAAACTAGAAGACACATGTGGAACGGACTTTAAGTCAGAACTTTTCAGAAGGAACCAATCTTGCCAACACCTTGATTTCAGGCTTCTAGCTTACAGAGCTGTGAGACAACAAATGTTTGTTTTTTTTTTTTAAGCCACCTATATTGTGATACTTTGTTATGGCAGCCCTAGAAAGCTAATACAATAGTCAAAGGGAAATAAATTATCTCCCTGTAGCCTAAAACTTTAAAATAATTTTTTTTTCCCAGAGGCCTTTTCTTTCATTTGTTGGTTTTGGTTTCTATACAATAGATCAAACATCTTCACTAATAGTTTTCTTAGACATTATTTTTGGAAACATTTTTAAAGGACTCATGGAAATCTATAATCTATGCTGATTGACTACTTCCATGTAAAGAATTTGATATTTTTCATAGTTACTACTGGCTGTTACTGTGCTATTCCTAATTGTCTTGAATGTTGCGTATGTAGCATGAAATCCCAATTTTTATTGAAGTAGGATATATATATATATAACTCTTCTATGGTTGTCTTCAAGCCGGAGCCTATTTGTTAGCACTGCAGGGCATCGTGTGTGTGTGTGTGTGTGTGTGTGTGTGTGGTAGAAGCTACTATATGAGAAATGTGGAGATACGCCTTTAGTTCAATTCTTTAGCTGCTAACTAATTTAGAGTTCTTACTGTTGTTTTAGTCAGGAAATAATGAAATATATCATCAATAAAAAGTTAAAGGAACAAGGTGAATCAGTCCAATGGGAGAATCTAAATCTTCCCAGGGATCTGTCCAAATCCATAAAAAGAGTACCATTTGATAGGTAACAGCAGGGGATTAAAGACTGAAGCAGTTTGCTGCAGGCTATGAATGACCTGATCCCTTAATCCATCTGTCTTTTTATATGAGAATGTTATGCTAATTAGCTGAGTAAATTGTTTCCTGATGATATTAATTTTGTGCCTTTCTGTTATTCTAGGCTTTGACTTTCACTGTGATAAAAATATACGAAGGGGCATTTTCAATTTAGATGGTTCCTATCCTGATAAATTCCAACACAGCAATGTTGTGGGGGAAACATGTATAAATAGCAAACTTAATCAATCCCGAGGATAGACATAGATGACTTTAGCTTCCTATATAATCATTCCCTTTAGCTTCTAAAGCATTACATTAACACACTTGAAATGTTAAAACATAATTCAAGGAGAATTTTAGGAAATGCAATTTTCATTGCCCCATTTTCTTTGGAGAAAATCAAGACTTGAATTCATTAACATGGAGGAAGTAATGGAACAGATAGTCGTGATGTGAAATCCTGCAGGTGTTGTGTTCTGATAATGCATATCCTTTACAAGTTTGGGTAAATTATTTGCTTTGCATATAAATTAACTCCAAAGCTGAATCAACATTAGAATAATAAAAATGTAGAGAATATTTTTATTCCAAGGAAGCAAAGATTTATAGCAAAATATATCCAAATCCTAGATGCAATTTCAGGAGGATAGATTTAAAAATATTTATCATACTCCAAAAAGAAAAAGGAGAAAGAAAAAAGGAAAAATACATACAATTGAGAGAAAGGAGGAATGGTTTTGGAAAATACAATATTATGTTATTATTGTTACATTAGGGAGAAAATAATTGAGAATCGATACATTTGTTTTTCAGTATAAAAACAAAAAGATGGCACTTATTTAACAATTCTTAAGTGATGTCTTCTGAGCTCCACTTTATTGGGTATGTATTGTTCCTAAGCTAAAATCTAATTTCAAAATATTACGTATTACAGGTGTAGTGTTGTCTTGGTCTGTGTTGTGTTGCTGTAACAACACCTGAGACTGGGTAATTTATAAAGAAAAAAAGGTTTATTTAGCTTATGGTTCTGGTGGCTGGAAAGTCCAAGACTATGGCATTGGCATCTGTTGAGCTTCTGATGAGAGCCACATGCTATGTCACAGCAAGGCAGAGAAACAAAATGGAAATCAGGCAAATCATTGCTTTATAAAAGAGGCAACTTTCTTTAGAATGACCGGCTCTTATGAGAACTAATCCATTATCATGAAAAATAACCCAGTTTCACCAGAAATTTATTAATTTGTCTTAATGACCTAATCACCTCTTCAAAGCACGATCTCCTAACACCTTACATGGGAAATTAAATTTCGACATGAATTTTGGAGAGAATAACCCATGTCCAAACTATAGCAAGGGTAAAGACCCCAAATTTACTTAGACATGGGGATTAATAATCATGTGTCATTGCCAATAAACGTTTTCTTTCTTTTGCACTTCCAAAGAATTTTTTCACCACCTATTTTCCTCTATGTTTTTCTTTCTCTAGTATTTCTTTCTCTAAAAATTTGTGCTTGTGTAAATAATTTGCAAATGCAACTTTTTTCTTCTTTGAAATGATAGCTAAATTCAAATTACTTTTATCTTATTCAAAATTCAGAGAAAAATTCAGAAGTGACCTATTAGATGTTTGAGAATGTGCTATACTACATCAGGTGCACAAGTTCCTGTGAATAAGAAGCAAAAAAGCTAGCACTTTCCCCACTTCTGTTTTTAAAGAATAAGCTTATCAATGGATATTGAGGAAAAAAACTACTGGTAATATTTAAATGGTAAAATGGGTATGGTAAAATAATATTACGAGCATTTTTTCAAGTAATACATTTTGAACTTTAAGTTTTCTTCTGTTAATTTTATCTGTTTATAGGAGTAATCCTGTTTTGTTCACTTCAGTATATTCACTATTCCTTTCCCTTACAGTCAAGCATTGGACATGGCCTTGATATTGCTGGTGATTACCCATAGGGCTCAATGTTCATCTTTTGTTTCTAAATTCCAAAAGCAAAGTTGATTCTAAAGGATGATAATAATCATTAATAATTCATAGAATACCTATCTCCAAAACAGAATCAGGAATGCTATAGACAATAATAAGCACACATTAAACCAACTGGGCACTGTGCCCAGAAGATCAGCCAAGTACACACAATAGGCAAGAAAAGAGCTTGTATGTGTGTAAGGAGAAATAAGAAAGGGAAAGCAACGCGTAAAAGGCTTCCAAACAGAACAACCAGGGAGTCAACAGATTTTCAAACTTTCACAGAAACCAGAAATATTTTGAAGTCATTTCTGCTGGGTCTACTAACTGTCTTACAATGTAAGATAGCCATGAACCCCAATGGAAGAAGTAGAAGCAAATTGAGTATATTCTAAAAAATTCAAAATTTGTAGGCATATTAAGTTTTAGGTTTTACAAGCTTACAAGTGGTGAATTACAAGACCACAATATAGGTGTAGGTTTATGGGCTTTTTTATTTGTGATGATGACTTAAACCAACCTTCTTTTTTCTATATGATTTGTTGAAATTAAAGCACTGTACATGTGATTATGACAAGGAACAAGGAGTCTCATGTATATGTTTTCTTATATTATAAAACAGCACCTGAACTTTTTCATGTCAGATCTCTGCTGGCAAATTAAAGGAGGAAAATACCCCCATGAACTGAAGAAACCTATGGAAGTTAGCTTATTGAAATGCTGCCGGAGTCTTCATTTAGAGGGGTTTTTATAGGTAGTAGGTCTAAAGGATACTAGCAAACAAAAAATGCTAACAACATTTTTTTTCCCAAGGGAGAAGTACCCCACCAAATTTATTCCATGTAGGCCTGAGGGTTGGATACTAATTTACTTACCATGTATTTATTATAAAACACTACTTAGGCAGGTGTGACCAAGCTATAATTGGCAAGAAACCAGGGATGTACATTTGCTTTTGTTATTATAGCTAAACTAGAAGAAGACTAAATCCTTTAATAGGAATAAAAAGTTAACACAATGATTTAATTTAGTTCTACTTAGTATAGATAACATTTGGTAGAGCTTCAGGAACTTACTATATATTTTAGCCCTTAATTTGTAATGAAGGCATTGACAGTATAAATCTTGGGATAAACTAGGTAAATAAATTACTTTTTTTGAATATGAATGTTCTTTTTTATTTATCCTGGAGTCATATTCAGTGAAGTGAGAAATGCATTTTGTTAAACTGACACCTAGATTTCAGGGAGAATATACTCAAATGATAAAATATTTATATCAAGAAAATAACTTTTACTCCATGACATTATATTATTTATCAGATATAAGTGTCATTAAAATTCATTTTCAAACTGTGTAAAAGAGAATGATTCCTATGCCAATGTTTTCTTACAGTGTGAAATCTTATATTGATAAAAGTACAATATTTATATATGAAATTTTGGAAAGCTTTGAGCATAAAGTTCTCAGTCACATCATAACATTTTCTCTGACAGTGTGTGTGTCTTAGGGTAGGGAAAGAGAGTGGTTGAATGTCCATATCTTACTAACTAAGATGGTATGCCCACTGTCTTAACAATTTACTTCCTGTATTGACTCGACTAATTAGGCTGCCATAACTTTATTTCTTAATTGTTAATATGTTGGGGAAATTATCAATAAGTATAGAAAATGACAAAGTTATTGTTTCTGAAAAACTATGAAAAAGAGGATAGCCTTACTTATGCAGAGCCTATTAAAAAGAGAGTACTTTTTCTTCTTAAAATGCATAGCTTGACCAGCTCCATTTAACACTGTTTTTTAAAAGACGTGTTAATATCCTAATGGTATAAATGAATTCAGTCATGACTAGTTGAGTCAAAGAGATTTAAAAATTATTTGAACTGTTTTATCAAATTTCTAGCTCATTGTTTAGTGCTAGATATTCACAAAACAAATAGTTAAGTTCCTAAGATTATTGTTGCAAACTGTGGGAACTAAAAGTCTTTAATTACATTACTTTGAAAGCAAAAAGTGATTTCCATGCAAAATATTTTAAAGGATTTCTACCCAATGTCAAATTTTCTCATCTATTCATTTAATAAGAATTGATTAAATATCTGTTGTGTCTTAAAAATCAATGACGAATAACATCCTAAACTTCAGCAAGCATATGGTTGAACACTAAATAAAGAACAAAAACCAAGGTAATTACAGTAGAGTGTTTCAGTGATATATTACCACCAAGAACAGAGAGCTATAAAAATCACTGGAAGAACAACTAACTGAATCTTTGGGGAGTGAAGAAAAGCTTTCTTTGGAAAATAACCTCTAATCTCATATCTAAAGGACCAGTAGGAGTTATCCATAAAAAGGAGAAAGAAAATTCCAGGTAGTTGAAATGGCTTGCTGAATTGCAAGGGCACAGATTACTAAAATGTTTAGTAATACTCATGGTAATTTTGTTTATATTTTTGAAACAGATATCATGTAGTCAACACAATAGGTCAAATCAGGACCTTTGGTACACATAACCCTTTTTCTGTAAGGTGTTGATAGGTATCATTTGAATAAAATTGGTGATATTTAGTGTTTATTGGTGTTTGGGAAAAACATGTGCTTCCTAAAATTTTAGCATATTTTCCTATATGATTTCTCATTAATAAATTAATGCACAAAGCAAATATCCAGGAGGTGTTAATAGTAAGCAGTAATTTCCAAAATTGCATGACCAAGAAACTTTTTACTCATAGAATAACTGAAATACTTTTCTCAGGAATATACTTTGAGAAATATTGCTTAAATACATGTGGAAAAAAAGTGTTCTAAATCCAAGTTCTTTATGATGGAGATTACTGAATCCAAGTGTTCTAAATCCAAGTTCTTTATGGTGGAGATTACTGAAAAAGTATGGGAGAAAATTATACATTTTGATAGAAAATCGTAAGAGTTGAATGGTGTTTGCCCAAAAGGTTTGTCCACCCAGAATCTCACAGTCTGACCTCAATCGTAATAAGCATCTTTGAAGATGTAATAAGGTAATAAAGTGTGCTCATCCTCTATTACAATAAATTCTAAATCTAATGAGTGTCCTTATAAGAGATAGAATAACAGAAAGACACAGAAAAAGCGGGGAGGCATGTGAAGACAGAGTCAGAGAGACTGGAAAGACAAAAACCGCTAAGAATTGCTGACAGCATGGAATGGGTTTTTTCTGGGTCTCCAGTGGAAACCAATACTGCCAACACATTCATTTGTCTTCTGGCCTCCAGACCTGTGAGAGAATCAATTTCTGTTGCTTTAAGTCATCAAGTTTGTTGTAATTTGTTATGACAACCCTGGAAACCTAATACAACAATGTGATGCTTTAGAACCAGTTGTGTTCGAACAAATTTAAGCCTTAACTCATATTCTTACCAAACAGTCCCCAATGAATTATGGATGTCCTTTGATTTCATGTCCTTGCATTATCCTCCCAACCAGACAATAGATTAGCCTTGTGAATTAGTTGAGCCATGAGAATGCAGCTAAAGAGACACTGTATAAGTTTCAGTCCTAGGCTTAAGGAAGCTTTATAGCTTTTGTTTACTCTGTCTTTTACCTTGAGCCACTGTGCAAAGATGTCTAGGTTAGCGTCCTTGTGGATGAGACACCTTATGATGAAAAAGACCAGGAGGAATGAAAGACTGGGAAGATAGAGAGGAAGACCCAGTTAGTTTCTAGTCATTCCAGCACAACATATGAATGGGGCCAGCTAGGATCCTCCAGTCCCTATGGAGCTGCCTCTAAATACAAACATATTAAATAGTCCAGCAGAAGACACCATCTAGGGAAGAGATGAGCCACCCAGCTGAGTTCAGCCCAGATTGAAGAATCATGAGCAGGTCCATCTGTGCTACTTAGCTGTTTTAAGCTGCTATGTTTAGACTGGTTTATTATGCAGCAATAGAAAGCTGTAACCATCTAATATGATTATCAAGTATGTGTTTTTAAAACAAAGACAAAAAAGATGAACAGATATAAGATTAGGTTGTGTGCTGTAGCAAAGGTGGATTTGACCTTTTTTTAAGTTAAGAATTTTGATAATCTACCATACATTTTTAAATTCTTTCTTGCATTAACTTTATCTCTGGATAAAAAATTCAGGCCACCCGTAAGTAAATAGAAACAGTAGGCATAAATACACAAAAGGAAAGTTATATTAAAATTCTGCAGAAATGTAACAAGAATAAAAAAGCTGAAC
Organism: Homo sapiens; assembly: GCF_000001405.40. Classification (NCBI taxonomy): domain Eukaryota; kingdom Metazoa; phylum Chordata; class Mammalia; order Primates; family Hominidae; genus Homo; species Homo sapiens. Next base: position 40,450,591 of record NC_000009.12, on the reverse strand, counting down.
TGGATTTTTAGGATGTTCTACACTCAGCTTTTATGAGAAACAGACAAATGACAATCTCATGCCAAGGATTTGTTTTAAAAGGCTGTATAACAGGTAGACCATTGACTAACACATGTTTTACCACCTTTATCTTCAGAGTACTGCAGACAAATGATATTCATAATGACTCTACACGATACTGAAATGGTATCTGAATATTAACAACTAAATTCTGACCAGTTATGATTTAAAACATTTAGCTATTTATTGATTGTTATTTTTTTAAAAACTTGGAATGTGCATTATATGTATATTTAACTATAAAGTCACTGAACATTTAATTAACATATGTCCTGTTTTTCAATCATTACTAGGAGTAATCTTTATAGAAATACAAGTAGCAACCATTACCACAAATGAATTCTCATAAGAAACAGTTATTCAAGTCTTTTTCTCTCTCTCTTTGTCAAACGCATGTGCACACACACACACACACACACACACTTTGTATGCCTGTGGATTGTGTGAGAGAGAGAATGAGCCTGTAAATACAGAATTATATCAGAATTCTTGTAGCAAATAAGCTATCAGGAAAATTGAGCCAACTTAGTCTTGGTCTTGTGAAGGACATTTTCTCTTTTCTGACCTAGTCTTTTCTATTAAGTGAAAGATGTCACACAATGACCACTCATCTATTTTTGATGGATACATGAATTGTACATTACATGGAAAGAAGAGAGAAAATAATCCTAATTTTATATAATGTACAGGTTAGAAAGCCTGATACAGACTAATATAAAATTAATGCTTTGAATAAATTTGTTTATACTATTGCTCTGTTAGTGTTGCTACTTTTGGTTTGTTTTTCAATTGTTTTTCCAATATGTATTTAGTTTGATTTTTAATAATCTTCTCTCTCTCTTTTTTCTTTTCTTCTCCTTTACCTCTTGCTCCTCTTCCTTACTCTCCTTGCCTTCCTCCTCAGTCTCCTCATCCTCATCTTCCTCCTCATCCTCTTTCTTTGTTTTCATTACAAAATAAAATAAGCAATCAGAAAAGTTCATACAGATATTGTTACTTGTCTTTAGGGACCTGGATCTAACTTAGTGCTGTTGCTTCTGTTTCTTCCCTTTTGTCCTCCTCTTCTTTTTCTCCTTTGTGTTCTGTTTTACTTTTTAAAAATAGATGCCACAACTCTGATTTTTAATCTGATTGTGTAAATGATCCTTAATAGTAAAATCAATTTTAATATCTTACAAAACAGAAGCACAGCAAAGCATTTTGCAGAATTTACCATAAAGTAAATAATAACCATTCCTAGTATGATAATGCTGCAACTATTTTTCTTTCATCCTCTGCAACATTTTTATCTGACACAGTCTCTGCTGTTTCCAAGTTCAACGTCCTGCAGCAAGCCTTGCCAGCAATACAGAATACTTTCAATTAGTAGTTCTCTACTTCTCTGGTAGCTAAGCAACTGACCTGTGGTGAAGAATACATAATGATCTGCATAGACACCTTAGAGCAATAGAAAGTACAAGCTTCACAATTTCATTTGCTCTCTTGTGTTGATGTTACAATAACCAGTTAAATGCATGGAAATATTTGATAGTAGTTTGCTATAATAAACTTTAATAAAGATTAAAAGAAGCCTTGGAGAAAGGTAGAAATAAACACAACATAAAATATTGTATTTGTCATTTGTTCATGTATGTCATTTTATTGTTTATAGGGAGGGCAAGCAATCAGGTTAATATTTTATTAAATGTTTATATTCTAGCTACTGTTTAAGACAGAATTCATCAAGTAGCAGAAGTGATGGAAGGGCCAAGGGGAAGAAAGATGGACAAAACCTGAAAATTGAAAGTGCAATAAAATGAAAATTACAAATGAAAACCAGTATGCCTGAGTTATACATGACTGTTTAGTAGAGTGTCTTCATGTGGGTTAAAGAAGAAAAGGAAATACCAGCTGGAATCAGCAGAACAGATTTAGCACTTGACCCTTGGATACTTTTCATTCTATTTATCTATCATATTTTTATTGGTTTGTATTCCATTGACTACTATATGCACCGACCCTCAGCAAATTCATTCAATAGAGAGGAGAGATTATATCTCCACTGTATCAGTGGAGCTGCTTAGGAACATTTCTCCCGCTTCTTGCATGTATTTTGTCCTATTTGTACATTGTATTTTATGAGCTGCTTTAGAATAGTAGAATAACTTTCCTTTATATGGTATAGAACTTTTGATATATCTCAAATAAATTTTTTAAAAATGATCAATTGAAATGTATGTTCTCATACTGTATGTGCAAATATCAGTAGTACAAACACTAAGGATTAATGAAAATGAAAATCCTAATATATTAAACTTAGAAAAATAGACTAAATATTTACTGAAAAGAAACAGATAACCAAAATTTCGTGATACACAATGAAAAGCCTTGAGACATTAAAGAGGACTTTCACTGCCTTTGATGATGTCATCCTTTACCTATTAGGTTCTTCTAGCATGGTAACTAGAACTAAACTTTTAACTTCCTTTTAAACCACACACTGAATGCATCTGTGAAAAAGACCTGCATACTACAAGATAACTTTAATTACATATCTTCTGTGGGGTCCGTGCTTTTAGTTTAGTATAGGTTTATGCAAAGTGATACTATTGGTAATGTGTAATTTAAACACACACACAAACTAACAGGCCCTGCCGCCTATCAATGTCTGGGTGATATCAGAGAAGGCCGTGTGGGAATCTAGAACTTTCTTCTCTGCCAGGTAGTTACAATGTGCCCCGTCCTTCTCCACCAGATTCCTTAGGTGTCAAAGTAAACTAAGTGAGAAGTTGGAACTTTCACCATCATCTAGTGGTAAAAAGGTCCAAGGCCTCCTGATGTTTGCCTTCCCTTCAGTGTAGGCCATAGTGGGAGCAGAAACAAGAAAAAAATCCCCCACTCTCCAAAGGTGGTTGAGCAGGGATAAATTTTTATCACCACCTAGCAATAACAAGGCACCCCCACTTTCACCATGTGTGGTGTCACAGGAGGTTTATTTCCAAGAGTTAAAATACAGAGCCTCATAGCATAATATCCAAATTACCCTAGATACGTTGAAAATTACTCAGCATATCAAGCACCAGAAAAAAAATCTCATCTTGAATGAGATAACACATGCCAACACAGTGATAACACATAAATTAGATTTATTCACAAGGATTTTAAAGCCACCACCATAAAAATGTTTTAATGAGCAATTGCGAATATGCTGGAACAAATGAAACAATGGAAAGCTTTACAAAGAAATAGAAGATGCCAAGAGACAAATAGAAATTTTGGCACCGAAAAATATAATTGAAACTTTAAAAAATACTTGATGGCTCAATAGGGTAATGGAGGAAATAGAGAAAAGAATAAGTGAACTTGAAAATAGGACATTAAAAATTTACTAATCCAAAGACCAGAGGGAGTATAGACTGAAATTGAAAAAAAAAAAAAGAACAGAGCCTCAAGGACCTATAAGACTATAGCAAAAAATCTACTATTCATGTCATCAGAGTCCTAGAAGGAAAGGCAAAAGTGGGTTGGGCTAAAAATATATTTGAAAAAATAATGTCCAAAACGTTTTCGAGTTTGGCAAAAGACATACAACTACAGATTCAAGAAATGAGAAAATCTAAAACGGGACAGATACAAAAAAATCAACAAAGAAACAGGTCAATTTCAGAAAACAGCAGAAGAAAAAATCTTGGAAACAGTGAGGTAAAACAATGCTTCATCTCTCCAGAAGAAAAACAATTTGAATGACAATGATTTCCTGTCAGAAATAATGGTGGCCAAAAGGAAGTGATATATTTTTCAAGTACTGCAAAACAAGAACTGTCAAACCAGAATTCTGTATTAGGCAAAAATGTCCTTTAGAAATGAAGGAGAATTAAATAAATTCTCAGAAGAAGAAAAATTAAGAATTGGTTGCAAACAGACCTACCCTAAAGAAAAGCAAAAAGTTCTTGAAACATAAAATGAATAAGGGGCCTGAAATCATCAGAAAAATGTAAGAGTAACAGAAAGAGCAAAAATATGAATAAGTACAACAGATTTTTCTTCTTGAGTTTTCTAAATTATGTTTGACTTTTGAATCAAAAACTGTAACATCGAAATGGTTATCAATACCTAAATGAAAAATTTTTAAAATTATATAAACAAGGATGGGTAAAGAGACTTCCAACGAGATAAGATTTTTACACTTCACTAGAAGTGTTAGATATTTTGATAGTGGTAGTGGTCACAAGAATTTACACATGTAATAAAATGACAGATGTATGCATACACATTTTTTCAATATCAATTTCTTGGTTTTAATGTTTTACTGTAGCTACAAAAAAAATGTAACCACTGGGGAAACTAGGTGAAGAGTATGAGAGACCTCTCTGTACTATATTTGCAACCTTCTGTAAATCTATAATAATTTCAAATCAACAGTTAAAAAATAAAAATATATCTAATAGACCAATAGTTTCATATGGAGGGCAGAATGATTTAAAAAAATGAGATATTTTGTTTATGCATACCTGTAAAGGCATCCATGAAAGGTATTATTAACATTTGAAATTATGTAAGTCCAATGCTGCAGGAACATGGGCATACTATAGCTTATTTTAGATGCTTTAGAAAGCCAAAGTCATCTCTGGTAAGTTCTACATTGATGATAATAACCTGAGAGACTTCTCAGTCTCCAAAATTGCACTATTTCTAAAATATAAGTAAATATTCCCTTCATCCTAAATCTTTCAAAGTTTAAGAATGTCATTGATAGTCTTCGCTTTAGAGGAAAATACAGAGATCAAGAAAAAAGGTCTGGAAAAATGAAAAAAATAATTTTAAAAGCTTCCTCAGAGAGAAAGAGTTTCAGACGGATATAGTTTAACTATATTAACTCAGCCATGAATTTCTTACTTCTCTTCTAGTACCGGTTACTCTTTTGCTGAATGAATCTACCTTATGAACACAAGTTAAAAAAAATGTACCCATGATAAGTAAAACATTATTAAATACAGCTATTTTTATAAAAGTTTCAAGTCAAAAATGGATCCATTTCTGTTCTTCTTCTTACAGGGAGTTGCTTATTTCCCATCCTTCATTAAAAGGGCCAAAAAGTATACTCATCTGTAGTAGAGAATATGCATAATGTTTATTAACTCATGCTTATTATAATGTTAACACATTATCTGCCACTCCAAGAATGTGGGCATATTTAGAAAATGTTCAATATGGTATCTATAAATTATTCTATGGCAGACTTTGATTTAATTCTTTTCATCTTCATTTAATAACAGTGGAGTGGTTCTTAATATCATATTTTCATTATTTGCATGTCCTTTGCAAGAAGGCTTGGGAACCTATTTACCCCAAAATAAGTTCCAAACAGGTCAGACTTCTAATTGTTCATACAAATAACTAAGGATTAGAAATATAGATGCTATACAATTCTAATATAAATCTTTTGGTATTAACCCCTCACCATTGAAAACACATTAACTGACTTGTAGTGTTTGATCGTTTCCACACAAAGAAGATGGATCACTGTATGTCTCTTAATATCTACATAGCCTTAAACCAGAAGATAGAACATGATTGTTCAGGAGAGTCACATGATTTCAATCAAATTATTGTAAGTATGTCATTTGAGCAGAAATAACACAATGTGCAGAATACTGCAAGTGAATTTTCTTTTCGCCAAATAGTGTGAGCTAAATCATGTTTACTATAGTGATAATATTAATTATTCGATGGATATGCTAGAATTATTCTACTGATCTTATGTTGTTTTCTGACCACATTTTCCAAAACACTTTAAATTGTGCTTTACCCTTTCATACCCTTTTATTGTTTACTGATTCATTCCACAAATTAAAATTAACTATTGGTACTAATGTGTACTGAAACAAAAAACAATAATGTCACTTCAGATTGTGACTGATTCTTAAAATATTCTCCATGGTCTTCATGGCCTAATGGTTTTAAGTTATACACACAGTATTTCACTTAAAATATTATGGAAAGCAGCACCTGGAGCTTTAAACAAGTTACTTAGTTTATATCTGTAGTTTATAAATCATGATGTGTTAAACTTTATTATGATCTTACAATTTGAATTTAATTCTTTTATAATGTCTCTAGGTCCTCCTGATGATAGATAGATAGATAGATAGATGATAGATAGATAGATAGATATTTTCCTTTTAGAAAACCTCTTGCTTTTCTCATATCCCACTCTCTGACAGCATTATATTCAAGAGCAAGGGTGGGAAATGTGTTTACTGCCAAGGTATTAGATAGCTAGGTTAAATGCCAAAATTAAACTGATATAAAAAGTAATACAGAAACAAGAAAAAAAAGTGGAAAATGAAAACATAACCTTGTAAAGTTTTTATTCTAATATACAGGTATGTTAATGAAAATAATAGAATGGTTTCTGAAAGACATAAATGGACAGTATTGTTTTATGAATACATCAGTAAGAAAATACTTTAACAGGAACGGGAAATTCTCCAGGTTCAGTGTGAGATTTCCACCTATAATTTTCATTTGGCTGGCGAGACTGACTTGCGTTACTTGAGTTATGCTATTTTAAAAGTATTTGTCACCAGTATGTATCCCTTCTTTGATATTTTTCCTCCCTTCTACAGTGACTTTTAAAATCCAAATCTAATCAAGCTGCCACTGAGGACATATTGTTATATTAAACATACAAATGTTTAAGCCTTATTAAATACAGACTGGGTTTCAGTAAATCAGAAATGGTTAAAAAAAACAAACAAAAAAAAGAGGCCAGGCGCGGTGGCTCACGCCTGTAATCCCAGAATTTTGGGAGGCCGAGGCGGGCGGATCACGAGGTCAGGAGATTGAGACCATCGTGGCTAACATGTTGAAACCCCGGCTCTACTAAAAATACAAAAAAATAGCCAGGCCTGGTGGCGGGCACCTGTAATCCCAGCTACTCTGGAGGCTGAGGCAGGAGAATGGCGTGAACGCGGGAGGCAGAGCTTGCAGTAAGCGGAGATCGCGCCACTGCACTCCAGCCTGGGCGACAGAGCAAGACTCCGTCTCAAAAAAAAAAAAAAAAAAAAAAAGTGGATGAAAAATAGTATAAAAGGAATTACTCCCTAATTATTTATATTGTGCTAAATAAAATTCCCAGTTCCAAAACCAAAATGTAATGACTGCACCATTTTTCACTTTTTCTAGATGTGGTCAGAGACTTTAAATGAGAGAAATGATACATGCATATACTTGGAGAGTAATAGGTATTGCTGAATAATATAAAGTTTGAGAATACACTTTTGCTTAAAACGTAAAATTGGTGATTTATATTATTTTATTTTTAAATGTAGAAATAGCTAAAGTATAAATTTTGTATAATGCAAGTGCTTTTCCTAGGTTTTAGTTTTGTTTTAATTTAGGAGTAAGGGTAAAGAAGCTATTTATAAATAGTACTAAGTCCGTGTGTTCTTTTCTCTAAATACATCTTGATGTGTTACGAAGATCAAATGTTCTGAAAAAGCAAATTTCCTCTAAACCTGAGTCCTCTCTTTCACTAGCAGAGAGAAAAAGTCTCTGCTAAAGTTACTGGATGAAAACAGAAACTGTATACTTGACTCTATTAAAGGAAAAAATAAAATGTTTTTTATAATATTAAGTCAACTTGAAATAAAAGAAAAAAGTTAGCTATTCAGGCCTGTCCCTAACATTTGTGGAAGTTCAGAAGTATTGCAAATCTAGACCCACATATTAATGACTACATATTTATAAGACATCAATCAAGCTTAAGAACTGTTAAAGTGTATTGAAATTCCTACATTGACAACTTCATAACAACTTAAAAAATTAAATTGAAATCTGCATTCTTGGACTGCCAAGAGAGGTCCACAATGGAATGTGAGGATTGGAAAGAGGCCCCAGGTCATAGCCAATTTCATTCTCTTTCCACCCCTCTTTCCATCTTGCTGGATGAGGGGTTTGTTACATCCAAGATACTGCAGCCTATTTGTCCAGCATCTCCTCATGAGACATCCCTTTGACCAAGGGTTGTACACACCAGTCCACCTTCAAAAAGGCTGATGTAGGGAATGGCCTTGAATAGACCTTGAAAGCAATCTTAGGACCTTTTATTTCTCCTAAAGAGGAATCCAGAGTCTTGAGTATTGGTACATTGGCATAGCACATGGATGGGCATGAGTCTTGTTTCACATGAGCACATTCACTTGTTTTGTGGACTCATCGCCACTTCCCCTTCTACTCTCCTTCCCAGCCCCCATGGGAGGAAGGTGAAAGTGGTTTGTGGTTCACTCTAAAGGGCTGGCCTAGAACCTGAGTTCCTCTTCCCTTTAGTCTAAGTTTAGCACTGCAACTATCTTGTTCCACTGTTCACATTTACCACGAAATGGGTCAAACATACAAAGAGAGCCTAAAGACACTTTTAATACATATTCGTAAATGAAAGTTTATTAATAAAATTGAAGGAGACGTATCAACACATAGTCACTTCTTTTCTAGAAAACACTCCCTACTTTATAGAATTGCTATGTGTATAGTTCCTCAGTAAGTGCTATGTGTGAACAGAAGATGTAGAATACAGATCTTTTATCTTCAGGTCACTTAATATCCAAGTCTGAACATAAGAAACATAAACACAAAAAAGTAACTTTCAGAAAAGTGCTATGCAATATATATTGGGGATCTTCTAAGGAGGGAGATGCCATCGTGGACCATGATGATCAAAGAAAGGTTAATAGAGCTTCCTATTATGTGATACTCTTCAACAATATGGGGAAGAGGAAAAGTGCATTATGGATTATTCAAAAGACAAGTGCAAATTTGGTGATAAGCATAGAAAACATTCAGAAGTATAGAATGCATACATTAGAATAATGTGATTGTTTCAGAATATTTGAATATACAATTAGAAGTAAATGTTGGGACAAATTATGAAGGATTTAGAATATTAGATGTGAGAATTTGAACTTTATTCATAAATAATCAAAAAAAGAAAATGATTTTAAATTGCTCAAAAAAGGGCTATCCATCAAAAGGAGAGTCAGGGAATAACATGTATTTTGTGCATTCAAAAAAAAAAATCAAAAGACTGTCTTCCACTTTCACCTTTTAAGTGTAAGGGTCACAGAAGGTAAAGAAAGTAGAAATAAATTTGAGAAATCATTGAAAAAAAGAATTTAAGTATATGAGTAGGCATAGGCAAACCAAGGTAATGACAATGTCTGTGACCACAAATTTTTGATCAGTTTGACAATAGTACCTTTGACATAAATAGGAGAAACTTGAGTCAGGAACTTTGTCCTTTACTCATAGCACCTGGCATAAGAGCTGGAGCCAGTTTTATGTTTTTGCTAGTTTTTGTTTGTTTTCTTTATACATAAAACAAAGTAAAAAATGAAAATGGCCAGAAAAAAGTTGGAAATTTGAGACTGGATCTCAGGATAGGTATTATGATGTATTTTTAGTATACTCATTTACATAGAGATGATGGTTTACACTATTTTGAGAAAAAGTAATGGTTTAGATGGAAAGTTAAAAATCAAGAAAAGAAATAAAGCATTAGACAGAAACAAAAATATTCAGGATAGGTTCATGTTATAGAAGCCTTAAAAGGACAGGTTGATAGATTTTAAAAATATTACAGTAAATAATAATGTTAGAAAGAAATTGATCACAAATTTCTCACCAAACATGCTATCACAATCAGATTACCTCAAACCAGAATGTAATCAAAACCATTGCCTCTTTCTCTAACAACAAAGATTACTATTTACTACTGCTGTAGCATTTTGATACCTTCAGGTCTATAGGAAAGGAATAAAACACCAAATGATTCTCAGCACAAAAATGGATAATGAATATCCATTTATTGTTATTAAAATAATGGGCATGATTATGCTAATAGGTAACATTCTTTCTTTAGTATGAAATTGCATTGTATTGTGTCTAAGAAAAAGTGTTGGTTGTTTTTGCAAAGTATAATTCAGGAGATTAATTGTATTCACCAATCCACAGTTTTCACTAATGAGAAGTGAACTGGAATTTGAAAGCACATACACTTTTCCCCTTAAACAATTGCCCACTCCATTTTGCAAGCTGAGAAATGGAGAAAGAGGGATATCAATCTAGGTAAAGTCTGAGGTGCTACTTGTATTAACAGGACTCAGGAATCAAAAATCTGTACTTCCTCCCATAAAAAGGGGTGCGATTTTTCCCTGTAGACAGTGAGTTAATGTGGCTGCCTTCAAAGGCAAACAGACTTCAATGTGACTAGAAGAAAAGGACAATGGAGTGTCCCCAAAAGAGAGGCATGTTTTTTAATGAATGAAAAACCAGAGATACTTTTCAAAATAATAGAATAACATGGCTTAGTTATTTTCATTACATTACAATACATTTAGTAGACTGTCCTGTCCTTCAGAAATAAGAGCCACAGTGAAATGACAATAATACATAGTAACACTTTACTGTGAGCCTAACACTAAAAATATTACTTTGTATTTATTGTTTTATTTAATTTTCACAAAAATATAATGCCTATACTACCAATACACACTTTTGCAGATGAGAAAATTGTATCAGAAGATGTAATGAAATTCTTCAACTTTACATACCTAATAACTGCTAAGATTGACATTTGAATATACTTTGTCTGATTTTAGAGATTGTGACCTTAACCACTATGTCATACTTCCTTCCTGAAGTGTTACTGATTCACATAGACACACAAATCTGGGCTTGGCTAGGTTCCTTTTCCCAAAGAGAGAGATGGGAAAATCTACTCCTTAAATGGACTATCAAACCAAACTTTAGATATCTTAGTCACAGAATACTATAAGTTAGTATATTTTATTTCTTAGTAGGTTATTAATGAAAAATTTTAGGAAGAAACTTAAAGCATAACAACACATTGTTACAATAGGGAGTTAGAGATGAAATATTTTTAATAAAGGAAGGACTATGTAATAGTAGCCATATCAAGGAGGTCTTTTGGAATGGACTAGCATGAGTCTGCATTAGTACAGGAGGAACCACAGAGGATTAACAGCTTAAAGCTGATAGAGAATATTTGATGCTAGAGATAAAAGGAATTGATTGAATTTAAAGTTCTAGTGGAAAAGTTAGTCTGGACAATGGGCACTGAAAATTCAAGAATGGGTGATTTCAAATGTAGGAAAATGTGAGCTAGGATGATTTATAGGTACATAAAGGAGCTCTTTATAGATGGTCACTGATGGTTTCAATAAAGTAGAAATGAGTTCATTTGTCAAGAATAAAGAAATTGGGACCATTGGGAGCTTAAGGTGATTAGGCAAAGCTTGGCATAGATGCTGACAGAAGTGTATCAGAAACGTAACAGGTCCAATCTTACTGATCTACCTTTATTGATTCATTTGTTTACTTGTTCATTCACTTTTTATTTAACAAAGAATTTAGTCATAACATTTTATATTATATTTATGTATATATTTAAATTATATTTATATTTATTTAGCTCCCCACCCCAAACAGGCCCCAGTGTGTGATGTTCCCCTGCCTGTGTCCATGTGTTCTCGTTTTTCAACTCCCACTTATGAGTGAGAACATGCGATATTTGTTTTTCTGTTCCTGTGTATTTTTGCTGAGAATGATGGTTTCCCACTTCATCTGTGTCCCCAGGAAGGACATGAACTAATCCTTTTTATGGTTGCATAGTATTCCATGGTGTATATGTTTCACATTTTCTTTATCCAGTCTGTCATTGATGAGCATTTTTTTGGTCCCAAGTCTTTGCTATTGTGAATACTGCTGCGTAAACATACATGTGCATGTGTCTTTATAGTAGAATGATTTATAATCCTGTGGGTATATACCCAGTAAAGGGATTCCTGGGTCAAATGATATATCTGGTTCTAGATCCTTGAGGAATCACCACATTGTCTTCCACAATGGTTGAACTAATATACATTCCCACCAACAGTGTAAAAGCGTTCCTATTTCTCCACATCCTCTCCAGCATCTGTTGTTTCCTAACTTTTTAATGATATCCATTCTAACTGGCTTATGCCAGATGGCATCTCATTGTGGTTTTTTTTAATTATACTTTAAGTTTTAGGGTATATGTGCACAACATGCAGGTTTGTTACATATGTATACATGTGCCATATTGGTGTGCTGCGCCCATTAACTCATCATTTAACATTAGGTATATCTCCTAATGCTATCCCTCGTCCCTCCCCCCACCCCACGACAGGCCCCGGTGTGTGATGCTCCCCTTCCTGTGTCCATGTGTTCTCATTGTTCAATTCCCACCTATGAGTGAGAACATGCAGTGTTTGTTTTTTTGTCCTTCCGATAGTTTGCTGAGAATGATGGTTTCCAGCTTCATCCATGTCCCTACAAAGGACATGAATTCATCATTTTTATCTCATTGTGGTTTTGATTTGCATTTCTGTAAAGCCCAGTGTTGAATTTTTTTCATGTGTTTTTTGGCCACATAAATGTCTTCTTTTGAGAAGTGTCTGTTAGTATGCTTCGCTCACTTTTTGATGGGATTGTTTTTTTTCTTCTTGTAAATTTGTTTAAGTTCCTTGTAGATTCTGGATATTAGCCCTTTGTCAGATGGGTAGATTGCAAAAATTTTCTCCCATTCTTTAGGTTGCCTGTTCACTCTGATGATAGTTTCTTTTGCTGTGCAGAAGCTTTTTAGTTTAATCAGATCTCATTTGTCAATTTTGATTGTTATTGCTTTTGGTGTTTTAGTCATGAAGTCTTTGCCCATGTCTATGTCCTGAATGGTATTGACTAGGCTTTCTTCTAGGGTTTTAATGTTTTAGGTCTTATGTTTAAGTCTTCAATGCAGCTTGAGTCAATTTTTGTATAAGGTGTTAAGGAAGGGGTCCAGTTTCAGTTTTCTGTATATGGCTAGCTAGTTTCCCAGCACCATTTATTAAATAGGGAATACTTTTCCCATTACTTGTTTTTGTCAGGTTTGTCAAAGATCAGATGGTTGTAGATGTGTGGCATTACTTCTGAGGCCTCTGTTCTGTTCCATTGGTCTATATATCCATTTTGGTACCAGTACCATGCTGTTTTGGTTACTGTAGCCTTGCAGGGGTTGCAAACCTAGTATCTGATAAAACAGACTTTAAAGCAACAAAAGTGAAAAAAGACAAAGAAGGACATTACATAATGGTAAATGGATCAATGCAACAAGGAGTGCCAACGATTATATATATATATATATATATATATATATATATATACACCCAATATAGGAGCACCCAGATTGATAAAGCAAATTCTTAGAGACCTACAAAGAGACTTAGACTCCCACACAATAATAGTGGGAGACTTTAACACCCCACTGTCAATATTAGACAGATCAAGAAGACAGAAAATTAACAAGGATATTTAGGACTTGAACTCAGCTCTGGACCAAGCATACCTAGTAGACATTTACAGAACTCTCCACCCCAAATCGACAGAATATGCATTCTTCTCAGTACCACATCACACTTACTCTAAAATCGACCACATAATTGGAAGTAAAACACTCCTCAGCAAATGCAAAAGAATGGAAATAATAACAAACAGTCTCTCAGACCACAGTGCAATCAAATTAGAACTCAGGATTAAGAAACTCACTCAAAACCGCACAATTACATGGAAACTGAACAAGCTGCTCCTGAGTGACTACTGGGTAAATAATGAAATTAAGGCAGAAAGAAATAAGATCTTTGAAAACAATGAGAACAAAGACACAACATACCAGAATCTCTGGGACACAGCTAAAGCAATGTTTAGAGGGAAATTTATAGCACTAAGTGTCCACAGGAGAAAGCAGGAAAGATCTAAAGTTGACACCCTAACATCACAATTAAAAGAACTAGAGAAGCAAGAGCAAACAAATTCAAAAGCTAGCAGAAGACAAGAAACAACTAAAATCAGAGCAGAACTGAAGGAGATAGAGACATGAAAAGTCCTTCAAAAAATCAATGAATCCAGGAGGGGTTTTTTTGAACAGATCAACAAAATAGATAGACCACTACCCAGACTAATAAAGAAGAAAAGAGAGAAGACTCAAATAGACACAATAAAAAATGATAAAGGGGATATCACTACTGATCCCCCAGAAATACAAACTACCATCAGAGAATACTATAAAAACCTCTACACAAATAAACTAGAAAATCTAGAAAAAATTTATAAATTCCTGGACACATCCACTCTCCCAAGACTAAACCAAGAAGAAGTCAAATCCCTGAATAGATCAATAACAAGTTCTGAAATTGAGGCAGTAATTATAGCCTACCAACCAAAAAAAAAGGCCCAGGACCAGACGGATTCACAGCCAAATTCTACCAGAGGTACAAAGAGGAACTGGTATCATTCCTTCTGAAATTATTCCAAACAATAGAAAAAGAGGTACTCCTCCCTAACTCATTTTATGTAGTCATCCTCTTTTTAAAGTACATTCTTATCATGATAAATAAAATAGGAATTTCTTGGTTTATTTTATCTAATTATTTTATCTTGCCCTAATCTCTAATCTCTATTTTTATTTCCTTCTGCTTCTCCCTCTTACTTCAATTGCATTCATGTGTTTGTGGTAGACCCTTGAATATGCATTTTTTGAAAACTATAAAATTTTGTGGTTGTTTTTGAGTTATATGTTGTATATATAGTTTTTACTTTTGTAAATCCAACACTATATTATTAAGACCTATTATTGTTATCGTGTGTATCTTTACCTCATTTTTTTTTCATGCTGCACAGCACACTATTACTTCTTCTTCTTTTTTTTTTTTTTTGAGATGGAGTCTCGCTCTGTTGCCCAGGCTGGAGTGCAGTGGCGTGATCTTGGCTCATTGCAACCTCTGCCTCCCGTGTTCAAGCGATTCTTCTGCCTCAGCCTCCCGAGTACCTGGAACTACAGGCGCGTGTCACCACGCCTGGCTAAGTTTTGTATTTTTAGTAGAGATGGAGTTTCACCATATTGGACAGGCTGGTCTCAAACTCCTAACCTTGTGATCTGCCCGCCTCGGCCTCCCAAAGCACTGTGATTATAGGCATGAGCCACCACACCTGGCCTGTATTCCATTTTTATAAACAATTGTGTGTGTGTGTATTACAGTGATAGATTCTTTGCCTCCTTCCAACTTCCTGCAACAACAATTGTCTCTACTGGATATCATATCCTTTCATGAGTTTAAACTTAAGTTTATTTGCCATGTGGATCAAGAGTAGGACTGCTGGTTCATAGGTTTGGATTTCATTTCACTCCACATTGCTCTCTGGATAGTTGCATCAGTCTGTACTCCCATCAGCAGTACATGTGAAGTCTAGTTTTCTAAATTTAAAAAAAAATTTGTTATTATTTGAACATTATCTTCCATCTCACTAATGAGCACTCCTCAAATTTAACCCTTCTGCTGTTTATACCATATATTTAATCCTTCATTTCAACAGATATGGTTTTCATACTGAAAAAATATTTTATGATTGCTAATTTCTTCTTCAGGTTCAAATATTGTGCCTTATGTCTTTGAGAACATTTACTATACATATTTTTGGATTTATTTTAACTTTTTTTTTTCTTCAGAGACAGTGTCTTTCGGTTACTCAGGCTGGAGCAAGTGCAGTGGTGACAGCCTCCTAGCTAACTGCAGCCTTGACCTCCTGGGCTCAAGAGATTCTCCTGCCTCAGCCTCCTTGGTAACTGGGACTACAAGTGCATGCCGCCACACCTAGGTATTTTTTTAAATTATTATTTATTTTGTAGAGACAGGGGCTCTCTTGGTTGCCCGAGCTGATCTCAAACTCCTAGCTTCAAGCAATGCTCCTGTCTTGGACTCCCAAAGTGCTGGGATTACAGACGTAAACCACCACATATGGTCACATATTTTAAACTATTGTTAATTTTTGTAAATCTGGTTGTCTTTGATATACATGTATTTTATTTTAGAGTCATTGAATTCCTTTGAGGCCTATTTTTTCCTAGTAAGATTTATTATGCTGATTAAGAATACATGGCACTAAAATCAGGCTCAAGATTGACCCACCAGAAGTGTTTAGAATGAAGGACTCCTTAGGAAATAACTGGATTCTGCCACCCTTTGTTTGCCTTCCTCCTCCATAAAAGTTGGTGTATTCACGTGTCCTGGGTGGTGCTGTTTACCAAGACTGGTCTCCCTCAGTTTTAATCACCATCCTAACACTCATTGTATGGAGTAGCTGGGTTAGAGGAGAATGCCTAGGGTTCAGATGGTCTTTCTGCATTTGTCACTATTTCCTCATTTTCCAAGCTAGGTTGAGTCATATTCTGCCTGGCCGACTCCAAAATGGCTTTAAAGGAGTTAGCAGTGGTCTCTTTTCAACTCTAGTTTTGCTAGAATGGGAGCTCCATTTGGTCAAAGTTTTGTCTTTCTGGCTCTGTAGTGTATTCTCAGTATTTAGAAGAGTGCCTTGCACACTGTGGGTACTCTAACTATTGAAAGAGCAGAAAAAAATACAGGAATGCAATGAAAAGGAATGATGACCACTAAAAACTTCCGCCCCAGCATATTCTGGTTTCCTTACATCTCAGTTTTCTGCTCTTTGCTGTCATTTTTTTCTCTACTCGCAGACTTTACTGTAGTTTGTAACTGCAAAGGTTTCTCACATCTTTTAGTATTAGATGCTGATTTCTGTGTCATTTCCAGGGTTGTGGTCACAGAAAGAAGCCCACATCATGTTAGTTCTCCATCTTACCAGATAAAGCTTAGCTTAATGTACTTCTATGCCAATTTCTTTGAATAACTAAACTTTCAATAATTTAATCAATCACTGATTAATCCAAGATTTGTCTCAGATGGGGCACAACTTCCACAACCTAATGTAGCTTCCACAACCTAATTTTTAATCCCCAAAAATGAAATTTACCGATTATTTTGTTAAATCATACAAATATAAAAATTCTGAACAGTGAAATAAAGAAAGTATCTCAAAAGTAAGAGTACTCTTGGACAACAATAGCTAAAAAAGTGTAACAAATATGAAAATATGCAGGCTCTGTTTCTGACCTTTAATCATTCTATACTTCTGGGGAGCAGTTATTTTGAGACTCAGTTTTTACAGAAGTAAAATGGGAACAAAAACAGTTCCTCTGCCTGGCTCATAGAATTTCTGTGAGAATAAAAGACAATTAATCTTTCTAAAGATATATTACATATATTGTAAAGTACCACAATTATAAATACAGGAGAATACTTGCTTCTCTTCGTATCCATTTTTCTGTTTCCAATGCTTGTTTGGTTTTTAAAATTTAATAGTATTTTCCTGCTACTCAATGTTTGACTACTGAAATTCTTATATAAATGTTTTCTGCAAAAAAATTTTATGGACATAGAATAATAATTGTATGTGCTCAGTTGCTTGATTAAAATACTTTATTGTGATTATTTTGTAAAGAAAAGAATTGCACTATAATTTCGATGTTGTGCAAATTATAATAATTAAATATTTAGGCTAAAAAAGATAATGCAAGAAGGCTAAGTTGTATTGTCATATTGTTAAGATTACTTTTTATTTAATGTTCCTAATCAGAAGTGAACCATTATCTATGTAAAAATAATTTAATTCAGAAAATTTTGGTCTCAAATTTACATAATGCCATCATTACCCTTTTTATGTTCTGGAAAATTTATTCTAAATTACCTAGAAAAAAAGGTTGATTCTATAGTGTTATTTTTTATTCTCTATATCTCAGGTAAGAATAAAGGGAAACGAGTAAGTAAAGGAAAAACAAAGATGAAAAAGGAAATTGTACTCAAGTCACATAGACACTGAAGTCTCAGATGTATGTGGAACTTTCTGTTTGGTAGAGGATATAGAAAAGAGAAAGGGATATCGAATTTCTGACAACCTACGTGCTTAGTGCTTTGTCTACCAATGTGATGAGGACATATTTATTTTTTCCTTGTGCTTTCTGCATTGAGACAAGTACATTATAAGCTTATCATACAAATGATTCAAAAAAAATACTCGCCATTTATTTTCTATTAGTTCTTTTTCTCCCGAGGTTACTGCCCTACAAGGAGCTATTTTAACCTCCTCCTGTCTTTGCCAGTGAGAACATCTTGACATGACTCCAATTCCAATTCTGATGTACTGGAAGAATAAAAACACATTTATTTAAAAAATCTAAAGCATATTAATGATGCCATAGAAAGACATCTTGCTTAAGATAAACCCATTAATTTTACCTTTGTAAACATGTTTCAGCATGACTGTGTGATTAAGGCTTCATTCTGTGCAGACTACAACTGTAGTAACGGCAGCAGCCAAGAAAAAATAGCAAAATATTTTTAAAAACAGAAGCAAACAGCAAGGCTTTCACAATCCATTGTTTAAATTCATCTTTTATATCTTGTTTTATTACGTTTTTCTCTCTTACTTTATGTGTATAATGAAATACCATTATCACTGTCATCATCCCCAGATTAAAGCTTCGAGAAAGAAAGAAAGCCTATCCTAGAATTGATTTTTAGGCCATTTTGCTTGAGATGATCGACAATAAGAGGATTTTCATTTGCTTTGTCAGTGTAAGCTGGCTGCTGTGCATCTGCAGTGAAGGCAGCACAGGTCTCTGTTTGCATTCTGCGGTTTGTTAGCAGCAATGACCTGTCACAGAAAGGCTCTACAGCACAATATTTACACAGATCATTAGCAGAGCAGGCCCTGTTTGCCAGATCGCTAATCAGTTTTGTGACTGCCCCAGTTTCATCAAGACTATAAATAAAATAAGCCATCGGAAAAAGCTCCAAAATGGGCATTGTCAGAGCTGGTGACACTTCTGGCAGCTCTAGGCATATAAATCCTCTGATAACAATGCAGTGGTAGTGACAAATAAAAGACTGCATTTAAACTATGAGTCTGAAAATGAGTGTGTGTGTTACTTCAAGAGGACCTTCTTTTCTTTATACTCTGTCGATTTCAGCTTACTCTAGCCCTATGGTGTAAACAAGCTAGCAATAGTCAAGTAGGATTTGCTTTTTTCTCCTTTCACTCACGATTGAAATTTGTTTACTGCAGTTTGCGATGTAGAGTCCATGACATGTGAACCCATGGTGAAAAGCCACAAAAGAAGGGGAATTCGTAAGTGAGAGGGCACGCTGGACTTACTGGCCTGTCTGACCTCCGTTGAAAATATTACTCACAGAATCAGTAGCATTCAAAATGCTGACAGAAAGATTGTAAGAGGTCAGCAAAGGGTGAACCTGTATAAGAGCCTAGGGACCAACCTTTAAGAGTTATGATAAACTATTAGCTGTATGGTGGCCACAATTGAAATGCAACTATTTATTTATTTCTCTTTTTTCATTTTTTGATATGTGCCCAAATCAATAGTGATTGCTTTCTCCTTTGTTGTAGAAAAAAAGTATATAAAAGACTCAGAAGAGTCAAGACCTGGGATGTTTTAATAAGAAGTTGACATTGAATAAAAACATTATTTGCAAAGAGAGTTTATTAAAGTCTTTCAGCTTTGCTCCCTCTGTCTCCTTTGTCACTTGACTCTTACTGAGAACCACAAGGCCATCTAGTAAAGATTACATGGTAATCATTAGTAGACAGATGCAATTTTGTCTGCCATGTAATCTTTACTTTCTGTTCCAGGAAAATATGAGTATTTTTAAAGTTAGTGGAAATTTACAGATTTTCTATATACAGGGCATTGGCAGGCCAGAGAAACGCTAATTAATTCATGTCATAAATGTTTATTGTGCAGCTACTATGTATACTGGATAGAAAGTAGTATCTGACAGACATGTTCCTTGCCCTCTGAAACTCAGTTTAGAAAAGAGAATACAGGTTCAAATATAATGAACATTTGTTTTATTTTATATTACATAATATCTTTTTTTGTTGTTGTTTCTATCTTCATTTTCACCAGGGGAAGGGAATCTGTGTCTATTGGAACTCTTTTCCTATATTCGTTTTAGGATTGCCATACCTCTGGTTTCCCAGGTATAGTTCATCAAAACTAGGGACAGATCTAGTCTTTATGGGAACTGCAACTTATAAAATGTGGAGTTCCTCTTTAGGAAAAAGGATATGCAGCCCTAGAAAATGAAAGGATCCAAATTTTTGAAGAAAATGAACTTAGTATGGTATATTCTTACTTTTTTTCTGAGTGAAAGATATCTTATATATCATACCAATTCCCAATAAGTTTCATCCTTTTGTCTGCGTTATTTTCAGTTTTCAGTAAAATAAATGTGTGTATACCACAACCTCTAAGTACTTCCTTTAGACCTTATGGTTTGAATTTGGTATGAAAGAGGAAGCTTCTAAAAGTGTTTTCTATGTGCATGATGATTTATAGGCAAATATACCGGCACATATAGTTACCTTAAAACTTAGATATTTAAGTATATGTTGGATGAATGAAAAAATTGAAGAACAGAAAAATGTAAAAACAAAAGAAGGTAAGTCAAACATTTTGAGAGAGTTCTTGGATGAAAAGTAGAAATTTAAAATGTAAGGTTGTAAAAAATAGCAATGTCCAGTAAATGCATGCACATAAACATGAAATAACTTAAATGTCATTATGCTAATTTTACTTGCATAAACTTTCAGGACATGAATACAGATAAGGACATAATTACAGTAGTTAGAATGATTAAAAAATAGTATGCCCCATACTATGAATTTCACACACAGTTTGATTACTGGGAGACATTTAGAGCAGCAGACTAAATGTATAGGTGCTATACTGTAAATTGTAAGTTGGATGGGAGGCCATCAACTTTGGTATTGGCTATAGCACTTCAATTAAAGAAAAGTGGCTGGGCCTGGTGGCTCATGCGTATAATCCCAGCACTTTGGGAGGCTGAGGCTGAAGGATTGCTTGAGCCCAGCAATTCAAGACCACCTTAGGCAACAAAGTGAGACCCTGTCTACCAAAAATTCAAAAAATTAGCCAGACATAGTGGCACGTGTCTGTGGTCCCAGCTAAATGGGAGGCTGCCTTGAGAGGATTACTTGAGACCAGAAGGTCAAGGCTGAAATTAGCTGTGATCATGCTACTGCACTATAGCCTGGGTGACAGAGTGAGATCCTATCATAAATAAATAAATAAATAAAATAAAAAATAAAGAAAAGTGTCATTTACATCTTTTTACGTTTTTTAAAATCCTGTTTGAGGTATTTTCTTATCACTATACAAAGTCACTAAACATATGCATTCTATAATAGGGTAATCAAGTAAAAAAAAGAGAAATTTATTTTTTCATAATATTTTTGTTAAAATTCATTGAAGGATATCTTACAGAAAATGTGACATTCTTACATTCTGATTATCAGGGCACAATTTGATAAAATTTTATCAAGTGAACAATAATCTGGTAATCAGAATGCAGATTAAGAAAGAGAACACTAAAACCTCATAACCCTACCTTCCCTGCACTATTTACTCTAAACTCCATTCCATCCATTAAAGATAGTGATGACTGAATTTTTTTTTTTTTTTTTTTTTGGCTATTCTTCTGACTCTAGTTTCTGAGATTTTTTTTTAAATTATACTTTAAGTGTTAGGGTACATGTGCACAATGTGCAGGTTAGTTACATATGTATACATGTACCATGCTGGTGTGCTGCACCCATTAACTTGTCATTTAGCATTAGGTATATCTCCTAATGCTATCCCTCCCCCCTCCCCCCACCCCACAACAGTCCCCAGAGTGTGATGTTCCCCTTCCTGTGTCCATGTGTTCTCATTGTTCAGTTCCCACCTATGAGTGAGAATATGCGGTGTTTGGTTTTTTGTTCTTGCAATAGTTTACTGAGAATGATGATTTCCAATTTCATCCATGTCCCTACAAAGGACATGAACTCATCCTTTTTTATGGCTGCATAGTATTCCATGGTGTCTATGTGCCAAATTTTCTTAATCCAGTCTATCATTGTTGGACATTTGGGTTGGTTCCAAGTCTTTGCTATTGTGAATAGTGCTGCAATAAACATACATGTGCATGTGTCTGTATAGCAGCATGATTTATAATCCTTTGGGTATATACCCAGTAATGGGATGGCTGGGTCAAGTGGTATTTCTAGTTCTAGATCCTTGAGGAATCGCCACACTGACTTCCACAATGGTTGAACTAGTTTACAGGTGATGACCGAATTTTAACATAGACTCAGTTTGCCTGGTTGGACATTAACGTGTGTGTGTGTGTGTAACTCTTATTTTTATATACTATGTTTTTTTGAGATGGAGTTTTGCTCTTGTTGCCCAAGCTGGAGTGCAGTGGCACAATCTTGGCTCACTGCAACCTCCGCCACCTGGGTTCAAGCGATTCTCCTGCCTCAGCTTCCCGAGTAGCTGGAATTACAGGTGCTCACCATCAATTCAGGCTAATTTTTTGTATTTTTAGTAGAAACAGGGTTTCACCATGTTAGCCAGGCTGGTCTCGAACTCCTGACCTCAGGTGATCCACCTGCCTCAGCCTCCCGAAGTGGTGGGATTACAGGTGTGAGTCACCACGCCCAGCCATTTTGACATAATTTTAAACTTAGAAAGAAGTTGCAAGAATAGTAGAAGAAAGTCCTATATACCCTTTTATCCAGATTTTTTTCTAAATTACATTTGAATATATTGGTAGTGTGCTCTCTCTCTCTCTCTCCTTTCTATACTATTTGCAAATTGGAGCCATCTTATTATTTTAATCCTAAGTACTTTATTGTATATGTCCTAAAAACCAGAACATTCTCTTAGGTAATCACATTTTATTATATAATTCCTACATAGTTTAAAAAATCAGGAAAATTTAGACTATATTTTAGTGTTTTTTAAAAATATATACTAAGTATGAATTATTTCTTAATGGGTTAAACATAGACTTGGAACTAAAAAACTCTAACTAGGGCCACTCTTTCTTTATAGAAGTTATTGACATTTTCTCAAGGAGAACAGATGAAATCCTAGGGGGCATGCCTTGCAAATTCATCATTTAATATGAGAACTGCTACTGGTAGAGCAACAGCTATTTGGCCCTATATTTCAGTGAGGCCCTAAATGGCAACAATTTTAGAATTAATGGCAAATGTAGTCCCTGATTCTTTTTGTTTGTTTTTGTTAATAGACTCACTTCAGCGTCCATCAAATATTCCATTAAAGTTTGTCTTCTTGGTTTCTTGATGTAGTTGCTGTTGGTGATATTTCTTAATATATTAAGATGGAACAACTTACCATTCCATTTTGAGTCATATTTTAATTCATTAAGCTAAAATGTTTGAGTAAATACAGGGTTTAGCATAGTATTTTGCACAGAATACTTTAAGAAATACAGATGTTTAAAAAGCAATCTTGCTCTTAAGGACCTTCAATGCTAATAGAAAGACCACTCCTATAAGAAGAATATGTGATGTAATCCCAAGTGCACTAAGGATTTTGATGAGGGAAAAATTATTTCTCCTTGGGTTTATCAGAGAAGATCTTGAAAGAGCTGGCATCTGAGATGTGCTGTGAAGTTATGTAGGTTTCTACAGGTGATAATAGAAAAAGAGTGTATCGAAATGGGTATGTGTGTGATGCCACAAAGAAATTTTAGTAGAATTTAAGGTACTGAATAGTTTGATGAGAAGGTGGTTTAGCATGAGCAAGAAAAATGAAATATTACCGGAACAATTTTGAAAGGCTGTAAATTACTGGCTAAAGAGTTGGATATTTCTCAGAAAATGTAGGGAACCGTGAACATTATTTTTTGAACAGGTGATGCATTTACATGATACAGAATTGGAAAATTCCACATTCTATCCTTTTCTATTGTCTGCCCAGTTCTTACCTCTTAACAACAGCTTCTTGGTGTCTTAAGTATTTTATGTATATATAAGAGATAACAAAATACATTATTGATTTCCTTTATTTGGACAGCATAACACGTATCCTTTTGGCACATTGCTTTATTCGTTAGCAATTTATCTTGAAAAACTTTCCACGTTAATACATATAGAAAATTTTCAGTATTTTTACTATTGCAGAACATCAAAGGGATGTGTCATCATTAAGTCGTACTATATTAAAAACTTTGTTGTTTTCAGAATCTTGTTCTTATATATTTTTCTGCAATGAATATAGTCATATATGTCGTTTTATATGTAAGTAGTTATTTAGGATAATCTGCCTAGAGTATAATTGATTGGACATGCACACATGCATTTTTTATTTGATAAATATGTACTAATTTATACTCCAATCATGTGGATGCATGAATGGTAGTACCTACTTCTCTATATGTTTGCTGAAGTTTGTGTTATTAAATATGCTATTCTAATAAGTGAAAGAATATTGATAGAGTTTTATTTGTAGTTTTATTATGGTTGAACTTGAATACACTTTTGTATACTTAAAAGTCATTTGCATTTACTTAATTTTTTATTTTTATTTTATTTATTTATTTTTTTGAGATGGAGTCTCACTCTGTTGCCCAGGCTGGAGTGCAGTGGCACAATCTTGGCTCACTTCAAGCTCCACCTTCTGGGTTCACGCCATTCTGGGCTCACTGCAAGCTCCACCTCCCGGGTTCACGCCATTCTCCTGCCTCAGCCTCCCGAGTAGCTGGGACTACAGGCACCCGCCACAAAACCCGGTTAATTTTTTTTAGTAGAGACGGGGTTTCACCGCTTTAGCCAGGATGGTCTCGATCTCCTGACCTCGTGATCAAACCGCCTCAGCCTCCCAAAGTGCTGGGATTACAGGTGTGAGCCACCGCGACGGCCTGCATTTACTTTCTATCAATTGTTTATATACTTGCCTATATTTCTTTTGAGTTTGAGTCTTTTGCTCATAAATTTCTAGAAACACTTCATATAGTAAAGAAATTATACTATATGAAGAGTAAATATTATTCTTTACTTGATTACTTGTAGTTTCAATTTGTTTACAATATTTCACTTGATCTTAGCCAAAAGACTGAGAAGTGAATGTTTACAATATTTTTTCATGAAGTTATTGTTACTGTATTCACATATACCCATTTTTTAATCTTTTAGCTTCTAGACTTTTAGTTATAATTACTTATACCTTAACCACTTAAAGGTTATAAAGGAAATGTCCTATGTTTACTTCTAGAGCCTTTGTGGTTTTATTTTCTACATTTAATGCTTTAATCTCTTTAAAAATAATCTTACACGCAGTAGGGGCATATGAATCTACCCATGTTATTTTTCCACAAAGTGGTAACTCATATTTCTTTACTGGTTTGAGCATTAATATACACTTTTTGGGATATTCTATTCTTTTTTATTCACCAATCTAGACTCTATTAAAATTCTCACAGTCCTGCTTTAAAAAAAAAAACTTATTTTTTCTTTTATGCTGTCCTCTATCAGTCACATTTATTTACATCTTTGGCCCTTCTGGTTTTAATTTGAAAACAGCCTGTACTTTCTCATCCCTAGTAGGCAGAAAAGAATAGCTGTTCACCATTTCAAGCCTCTTTGTTTGAAAAATGCATTCAGTGCCAGTGAGATTTACATACATTTTTAGTAATAAAAAAGTAAAAGTTTTTTCCTTAACGGCACAAATCAACCTGAGTTACTGTAAACTACTTTATGAAATACTTTTATAAAGTATTAGTACTTGCTTACAGCTTATACCCTGCAAATAAAGCCCACCTAAACAATGAAGAGATTGTATATTATATATTTGAAGTAGATAGGTAGAAAAGTTTTCAGCTCTGCTTGATTTATGGTTCAGAGATCTCAGCAAGGAAGCACATTCTTTCTGCCTCTCCACCCTGCAGTTCACCTATTAGCTTCATCCTACTTCTGCTTCCCCTTGTAGTATGCAATGGCTGGTAAGAGCAATGAGCAGTACAGGATTTCTCATTCAAATCCAGTGAATACAAGGGAAAGAGTTTTCCCCTTTTATGAATAGAAGTCTTTCCTTCTTTATATTATAATAGAAACTATTTGCACTGTCTGGTTATTCCCAGATAACAATTTACAAACACAGGTACTGACTGATGTATGTCTGATTTTTTGAAACAACCAGGAGCAATGGGAAAATAATTACCCACATTGTCTAAGAGTAACTGAGGCCCAACTCTGGAACTGGGGAGTTCTGTTTATTTTATTCAGATATCCCTTCTATGGATAAAGCTGATCTTTCCCTAAACACAGGGACGATTTACAGATAGAATGGATATCTGAATAAAATATGGATTCTGTTAAAAAAAAGAAAGATAAGGAAAATGTAAGAGGGTTAGGCAGCCAACTGTGTGCACTAGAAATTGTTTTCTTGAGAATTCCATCAGGGGCATTCTCTGCATTCTCTACTTTATATTTGTGGTTAATCCACTATTCTGTCTCTCAAAGAATGTATCTATGTGTGAACTGGTTTTGTTACTCTAATTTCTGTGTGTCCAGAATGGCAGCTAATTACTTGGTAACTTTCTCTAACCTAAGATTTTGAATAGCTCATAAGACATATTTCTTTTAATTGCGGAAATGAGAAGCTAATGACTTGATTATGATGTAAAAGTGAGTTACTGTGTTCACCCGCATTTTATGTTATAGTCTATATTATGACACATATATCTTAAGATATATTTGCTCAATCCAAAGCTATGAATAAAACGGTAAATACTTTTACTACAGGAGAAATACTTAAAGTAATATATTTTTTTTGGATGAAAAGTTACTTCATTAGCTCCAAAGTGAATTTTATATTTTTAGTACACTTAAATTCAGGTTTGCATATAAATTGAGTCTGTGATATCATCTCAGAATTCACTAGGAGTAAGAGTTCTTCTTTAACACAGCCTTTGTGAAGCTTTGTCTCTTACTCTTCCTCATTACTTCCCACTTGTTCTTTTGAAGCTGCTCTATTCTACAGACTTTTGAGGCATTTAGGGGCTGAATGATTGAATTTATTTGCTCTCGTGAGATAAAATTCAAGAGTTTTTTGTTTTTTTTTGTTTTTGGAAAACATAAATCCTTCTTCGTTGAGAAAAAAAGGATGGGAAGCAGATCTGCTATCTAGGCTCTTCCTTTATATAGAGGACAAGGAAATAAAAGTCATATCCCTGTTGTTATGAAATAAATCAAGTTCCCCTATAACCTATATGTTGAGTCTCTAACCCGCAAAGTGACTGCATTTGGAGATATGGCCTTTAAAGAGGTAATTAAGGTTAATTAAGGTCATATGAATGGGACCCTAGTCCAATAGGACTGGTGTCCTTTTAAGAAGAGGAAAAGACACCAGTGAAGTGCTTGCATCAAGAAAAGGCAATGTGAGAACACAGTAAGGAGGCAGCCATGTGCAAGCAAAGGAGAGAGGCCGCAGGAGGAACCAAACCTGTTGACACCTTGATCTTAGACTTCTAGCCTCCAGAACTGTGAGAAAATAAATTCCCACTCTTAAGCCACCTGGTTGATGATACTTTGTTATAATAGCCCTAGCAGACTAATACATTTGTAAACATGCTAAAAGCAGACTTTTTGCAAACAAGCTAGTTACGTTAGCTAGTGGGAGGGTTTTTATCTGCAAGGTGTTTTTAGCAGCATGTACTTGGTTGTTTAGCATCTCCTGTGTTAAAAAAAAAAAAAAAGCAACCCTAGAATCTATGGATATATGGGGCATCGCTTCCTGGAAAATATTATGCATCCTTTGTGCCTATTTGATTATAAAATGGAAGTGTTTATTACTGATACTTTTTATCTTTTGTGTAAGTAATGTGTCAGAACTTATTTATCGTAGTAGGAAGAGATCCAGTGAATACTCAACCTCTCACCTTAGTTCTCCCTGAGCCTCTAGACACTAGACTTTTATATCCTAAAAATGATTAAACATTTCTATTTCATATGAGTCTAATTTGACAGTTGAATTATTTGTACCATCTCACCGATGATAAAATTAGCAGTTATATTGTGTAGAATATACAGATAGGTAGGTTATAATTTTTCTATGTTAAGTTTATATAGAGAAGAACAAATGCCACTTGTAACTGGTGATGAAGCATAGAACAATGACTTTTCTACATATCTAATTCAATAAAAGAGTTTACATGTGGAAATTCAACAAAGTAACTATACTCTGGCAATGCACATCAACTTAACTGGTGGGAATATTTCCTGAGGTGGAAATACTTCAGTTTTATGGTATAATCTACCAAGGATGAGTATAGTATAATCCACCAACTAAGATAAATTGTCTCCAGTTTTATTAATCAAATGAATATTATATTGGAAGTGAGCATTTAATATTTATATAGTTGTCTACTTCAAGAGTTTCTGATTATATACATCAGAAAAATAAAATTTTTGATAATAAAATATATTCAAAGGATCCTCCCAAACATCCCACAGTAACACAGCACATGATCTAACAACCCTAATAGTCACAACAGTCCACATAATGTCTCATTGTATATGCTTCCGGTTTTAATTTGAAAACAGCCTGTACTTTCTCATCCCTAGTAGGCAGAAAAGAATAGCTGTTCACCATTTCAAGCCTCTTTATTTGTTTGAAAAATGCATTCAGTGCCAGTGAGATTTACATACATTTTTAGTAATAAAAAAGTAAAAGTTTTTTCCTTAACGGCACAAATCAACCTCAGTTACTGTAAACTACTTTATGAAATACTTTTATAAAGTATTAGTACTTGCTTTTAAAAGTTATGCTGTTCAAAGAGATTTTGAAAATACCTTAATGAAACACACAAAGTGATTACCTGTAGGTTAAAAGAACCATCCTAGATGGAAGAAACAATGTAATGTATGTATTTATTGTTAAGGATTTCTATCTTGCCCATATCTCTATCTTAACCACCCTAGCTGTATTAGTCTGTTTTCACGCTGCTGATAAAAATATACCCAAGACTAGGCAATTTACAAAAGAAGAAGGTTTAATGGACTTACAGTTCCAGGTGGCTGGGGATGCCTCACAATTGTGTTGGAAGTTTAAAGGCAAATCTCACATGGCAGCAAATAAGAGAAGAGAGCTTGTTCAGGGAAAGTTCCCTTTATAAAACCATCAGGTCTCATGAGACTTATTCACTGTCACCAGAGCAGCATGGGAAAGACCTGCCCCCATGATTCAGTACCTCTCACTGGGTCCCTCAA
This sequence comes from Homo sapiens, assembly GCF_000001405.40. Lineage (NCBI taxonomy): Eukaryota > Metazoa > Chordata > Mammalia > Primates > Hominidae > Homo > Homo sapiens. Next base: position 40,421,470 of record NC_000009.12, on the reverse strand, counting down.
ACAACACATGGCAATTCAAGATGAGATTTGGGTGGGGACACAGCCAAACCTTATCATTTCACCCTGGCCCCTCCCACATCTTATGTCCACACACTTCAAAACCAATCATGCCTTTTAAACAGTCCTCCAAAGTGTTAACTCATTTCAGCATTAACTCAAAAGTTCACAGTCCAAAGTTTTATCAGAGACAAGGCAAGTCCCTTCCACCTATGAGTCAGTAAAATAAGAAGAAAATTAGTTACTTCCTACATACAATGGGGGTACAGGCATTGGGTAAGTACAGCTGTTGCAAATGGAAAAAACAATGGCTAAAACAAAGGCCCCATGAAATTCTGAAATCCAGCAGGGCAGTCAAATATTAAAGGTCCAAAATGATCTCTTTTGACCCCATGTCTCATATTTGGGTCACACTGATCCAAGAGGAGGTTCCCATGGTCTTGAACAGCTCTGCACCTCTGTCTTTGCAGGACACAGCCTCCCTCCCAGCCACTTTCATGGGCTGGCATTGAGTGTCTGCAGCTTTTTCAGGTGCACAGTGCAAGCTGTCGGTACAGCTACCATTCTGGGGTCTGAAGGATGATGGCATTCTTTTCACATCTCCACTAGGCAGTGCCCCAGTGGGGACTCTGTGTGGGGGTGCCCACCCCACATTTCCATTTCACAATATCCTAGCAGGGGTTCTCCATGAGCACCCTGCCCCTGCAGCAAACTTCTGCTTGAACATCCAGGTGCTTCCATACGTTCTCTGAAATCTAGGCAGAGGTTGCCAAATCAATTCGTGACTTCTGTGTACCCTCAGGCTCAACATGTAAAACCTGCCAAGGCTTGGGGCTAGCACCCTTGGAAGCCACGGCCTGAGCTGTACCTTGGCCCCTTTTAGTCATGGCTAGAGCAGCTGGGATGCAGGGCACCAGGTCCCTAGACTGCACATAGAGGGAACCTGAGCCTGCCTCATGAAACCATTTTTTCCTCTAAAACCTCCCAGCCTGTGAGGAGAAGGACTGCCACAAAGGTCTCTGACATGCCCTGTAGACATTTTCCCCATTGTCTTGGTGACTAACTTTCAGCTCCTTGCTACTTATGCAAATTTCTGCAGCCAGCTTGAATTTCTCCTCAGAAAATGGGATTTTCTTTTCTATCACATTGTCAGGCTGCAAATTTTCTAGACTTTTATGATCTGTTTTCCTTTTAAAACTGAATGCTTTTAACACCACACAAGTCACATCTTTTTTTTTTGGGGAGTCTCACTCTGTCACCCAGGCTGGAGTGCAGTGGGGTATGATCTCAGCTCACTGCAACCTCCCCCTCCTGGGTTCAAGCAATTCTCCTGTCTCGGCCTCCCGAGTAGCTGAGACTACAGGCGCACACTACCATGTCCGGCTAAAAAGTCACCTCTTGAATGCTTTGCTGCTTAGACATTTCTTTTGCCAGATACCGTAAATCATCTCTCTCAAGTTCAAAGTTCCACAAATCTCTAGGGCAGGGGCAAAATGCCACAAGTCTCTTTGCTAAAACATAACAAGAGTCACCTTTGTTCCAGTTTCCAACAAGTTCCTCATGTCCATCTGAGACCACCTCAGACTGGATTGCATTGTCCATATCACTATCAGCATTTTGGTCAAGCCATAGAACAAGTCTCTAGGGAGTTCCAGACTTTCCCACATTTTTCTGTTGTTTTCTGAGCCCTCCAGACTGTTCCAACCTCTGCCTGTTATCCAGTTCCAAAGTTGCTTCCACATTTTCAGTTATCTTTAGAACAGAGTCCCACCCCACTCCTGGTACCAATTTACTGTATTAGTCTGTTTTTATACTGCTGATAAAGACATACCCAAGACTGGGCAATTTACAAAAGAAAGAGGTTTAATGATCTTACAGTTCCATGTGGCTGGGGAGGCCTCACAATCATTGCAGAAGGTGAGAGGCATGTCTCACATGGCAGCAGACAAGAGAAGAGAGCTTGTGCAGGGAAACTTCCCTTTATAAAATTATCAGATCACATGAAACTTACTATCATGAGAACAGCATGGGAAAGACCTGCTCCCATGATTTAATTACCTCCCACCAGGTCCCTCTGACAACACATGGGAATTCATGGTGAGATTTGGGTGGGGACACATCACTAGATAACAGCAAAGCTGTACAATTCTTAAACATTGTCATGGAAAACTAATTCCACAACTCTACTTTGAACTATATGTGATGTTGTTTACATTCATCATACCCTCTTTATGCTAAACTAAAATATTTAGCTGTAATTTATGATAACTATTTATAGTTCCTCTTTCTTTCCCTCTCTGAACTTCCTGCAATACCCTGCAAAGTTGGTATATTATCTACCTTTTTCCTTTACTTTTACTATTTTTGTGAACAAAAATGTCAGAAGATGAAGTATTTTAAGTCAATTTTTTTTTAAATGGTGAAAAATTTTAAACACTGTGAGGGGCCAATAAAAGAGATTATTTTCATTGTGAGGGACATTTTAGCATGAGTCAAATCACATGACAGTCAATTTTGTTCTTTGATTAATGTACAGGTACAATGAATTTAAGTTATGGGAGAACTTCTCTTTTTCCTTTGACTTATTCTCTCAATTTTTGCACTCTCATTTTTGTTTTTTTGTTTTTTTGTTTTTTTTTTTTTGTAAAGAGTTTCTAGTAAGGACTATGTGTTAATCAGTTTTAAGAACACAGATTTTATCAAAGAAAATTATCTCTGTAAAATATTTGCACTAATGGAAAAATATGTGAACCACCCAGTCTTATTTTATTGGACCCCAAGTTAGTTTGTGTTTGTGTGTATGTGTGGGTATTTATCTGATATCAACCATTATCTTTTAACATCAGCATGAAACAACATGCTGGTCTGAAACATAAAAATATATATCACTCTTACCAAAGCCAGTCTGTATTTTAATTGCTTTTTCCTGAAAGTGGAATCATGTAAAACTTAAAAACAGATTGAAATGAAAGGGAAAAATTTGATTCTGTAATTAACTTACCATGTGACCTTCACCACACTGATGGTCCTTACAGATCTAAATTTCTATATCTGTAAAATAAAGAAGGTTGATTTTACATGATTTCAAAAAATATATCATTTTTTTGACAGTCATAGAAGTTTTATATAATTCTCTATTCTAGTCTACTGCAAAGGAATAGCAGCAGGTGAAAACTATAATGTTTGACCCTGAAGATTATTATGTGATATGTGTAAGGGTCTTAATGTGTACAATTCCATTTTTAGGGGCTCAAGAGATAAAATTTCTTTTCCAAAATGGATAAATACAAAATCATTTTTGCAATAAAAATGTATTGTGAGGGAATCTTTTGAATCAATGTGATTACTTATTGTGGAAGATACAGGCCATATCGCATAGCGTCTTGCCTCAAGGATCTTATCACTTAGTGAGTGAAATAAAACAATTACACAGATAACTGCCAGTAGGCAGCACTAAATGTCTTAAGTGATGGATAGACAGAGAGGTAAGAAGGGTCCAATCAAATGCTGAAATGTTAATAAAACCCAGATCACAGGCGGTGATGATCAAATGAATTGAACAGGCTTAGGAGAAATCCGTGAAAGAAAGAAATCTGTATCCCTGGGATCTTTCCATTTTTGAGAATATATTACATTTGAATCTCTTAGGGATGTGTGATTCCCCTTCCCTTTAAAATAGTTACAGTATAACTTTCATTAAAATCTTGGATTTTGTCAGTCATAGCAGACAATAGCATTTTATGTCCTGTGAAGAATTGTATGCATAATTTTGGAAACAAGACAAAGGAAAGAGGCTCTCTAAGCTGTTAGAAACAAAGGATTTTTAAAATCTTTCTTCTCTCATACCTCCATTAAGGTTGTCTTTTCTCCTTTAAAGCTATAAGAAATATACTGAATACTAATGTGACAGAACCAGATGCAATCCCCAAATATCATATTTACTTAATATAAATTCATAGTCCTTACCTTTAAGGAGATTTGACAATTCACTTTGTCTTTTAGCCTTGGGGTAGTCAGGAAAGTTAGGCACAATGTTTTAATGCTCATTCCTTCTCTTTTGCTCTTAGCTGTCATTAATCCCTAATGCCTGGAACTGCATAAATTTCTTCTACAAAGGAAGCCCACAGGTCGTTTTTATTTGGAGCACTTTTTTTAATATGCGCCACAATATATTCCGGTATGTATTACCTCGTCTGAATGCAAAACTGTTTTATATGCAGATTTAAGGTAGTGAGCAGTCAAGTTTAAAAAATGGTTCTGGTATCCTGTAGCTTCTCAATAATAATATACTCTTACATTCCAACAGAGAAGGATGGATTATGGGTTTTTCAATTTGCATCAGGCATATTAATTGCAGAGTAGGGCTTCCACATAAAATATCAATGTACTGGAACAAACTGTTAATGTACCAGAATATGAACACTTACATTCATTTCTGGAGCTTTAAAAGGAATCATCCCCCTCCCCCGCTTTTTAATATCTATACCTCTGGAGATGGTACAGTTTTTTAGTCAGTTAATGAGAACTATGTAACCACCATTTCTCCAAAAATCCCTAATTAGATTAAGTGCAATAGGGCTATTTTAGTAATTTCTGCTGGGGAAGAATACAACAAGCCATTAGGGAAAGAGAATAATTTAGAAGGTTTGAAAGAAACTTATTTTAGAGTTACTTTTAAGAAACATGACATGGAAGATCAACTTTATGTCCTAGTTGGAGGCAGGGAGGCATACTCAACTTTTATTTGCATTATATTTCTCAACTATGAAGAGAATACCTAAACTAGTAAAAGTTTAATTGAAAGTTTTATAAGTAATTTTCAGCTGACGTTTAGCACTGTAGGTTTGATTGTAGAGAACTGGTACTTTATTTCATGGGAGTACTTGAATTATATATTCTCTTGTAAGCATAAAATTGTGAATGTCCATATTTTAAAAAAGCATTATAATAATAAAAACTCTTGTGTTTTAATTTGTCTAATACATTTGGTAACTAATATAAATTATAGATACTCTGGTTAGACTAGAATATAGATGAAAATATTTTTAAATATGTTCTCTTTTTTCTTTAATGTGAATATTTCTTATTTTTCAAAAAATAAAGCAAGGGGAAGAAATAAAGTTGAGATTTAAACACGGCTACATTTTTTTCCCTGAGGCTTGTACTTAATATGCAAATGCTAAGTATTTGGTAAATATTCATTAAGTAAATATCAGACCTTTCACATTTATATTTCACTTTTCATTTTTGATACATGACAAAATTTGTGATTTTATTATTTTCTAACAAAAATAGAATGGGGGCCCACTTTTCAAATCCATTCTGCAAAAGACAATGTTTGAGTTTTTATACCACAGCTGTCCTAAGTAACGAATTATCTCACCAGAGAAGAGAAGAAATGCTAACCACATAATCCAACAGGAGACTTGATTCATTTTGTGTCTGGAACAGTCAGTGCAATGTTACAAACTGAAATGAGTTTCCTTTTCAATCTTCAGGTGAAAAAAGTAGTGAGAATGTCCCGCTTTAAAAAAAAGAAAATCAATGTGACCTTTTTTTTTTTTCATCTTCCTTGAGAAATAATGTGTGTTTGTGTGGGGGGGTGTGTTTTATTTTGCAGTGTTAGTTTTGACCTCATTATGCTCATTATGCTGTTGTAAGGCTAAGTATGTCATGGGTCAAAATGAAGGCAAAATAGACCTTTCTCAGCATTAAAGCACAACCTAATTTATGGTAAAAGTAATTTCCATACTGTTTTAAAGAAATAGCCCTGGACAACATGAATCTTCCTTTGCTGTAGCATGCTGGCTGAAAAACGGGTTAGATATGCATTCCATGAAAAGAACAGGGAAAATCACTAGAACTGTAAACTCTGCATTTGCTGGGTGCTAACATTTTGAGAAATGCTGAAAGTGTGTTATTTTGGTTTTGTATTACATTTAGTAGGTGTATTTTAAACTCAAAGAATTTGATTTCCAGTAAGAAGCCCAAATCAAGTGTTGCAATTGTTTTATTTAAGGTCAATTCTTTCAACTAAACACCTTTTATTTCCAGATGTGTTTTCCCTCTTGTTTGAAATGCCACATGACACAAAATGCTGCCTGTTTTGTGTGCTTTTTTCTACTGCATGCATAGATAGAAAATAGGTTCAAGTGCTTCATTTGAAAATCTTTTACTTAATTCCACCAATTGAAACGATGACATCATGTTTTCAGAGTTTACCTTTCTTGGTAAACATCACCAACAAAAGGTTAATGTTTATGAAGGACATCTTAAATCTTAATTTGATGCATACAATAATTTAAATTTTTATAAACTTTTACTAAATTAAATAAAAGCTGCTTTGAGGTTGTAAGTGATAATGCTAGAGGTAATGATTAAAGGCACCTGCCCCTCCTCCTGATGCATCTACCTTCTGTATCCTCTGATAAAAATCAAATGAAAATTAATCTCAGGTTCAAAGTGGTGTTAACTGTATTCAGGAGTCTTAGGATGTCCTTTACTTCCTTTGAAGCATTACCTCATGACCTAACTACAATTTCAGCATAGCTGTTGATTTTTGATTGTAGGTTTTATTTTGTTTTTTTATTTTTACATTCTTGTGGGGAGGGGGATTTAATCTCTTAAACTTTGTTGGCAAATTACATTGATGAATGTGTTCTGACAGGAAGCTTTACTGAAATGAAAAGGAGTTGTGTGTAAGGGTGGGAATAACTATTCTAAGAGCTTTTTCATGGTTCTCGTTGCCAGGGAAACCACTGCTTTGTCTGTACATGTTTGGAATGGCTGCCTCATTAGAACTCAGGCTCCTAGACAGTCACTTGTAATACTGGTAAAGTGAAAGGAATGAACCTATTTTAGTTGATTAACTTCAAATTAATAAAAATAGCATATTTAAAAGATAGATGTTTAAAAGCTAAACATATAGAATTATGGGGGAACAATGAAGTTAATATTGATTAGGCCTATTCAGCCACTTGTGTGAGTGGAAGAATAATTTTATTTTTTACTTTCTCTTTGCCTTTTTACATATTTATGGGGAGTAAGCAAATGGACTATTATATGTTAATGCCACCAAATAAACTTGGGATATGATAGATCCTGATTTTTTCACAAATATACAGATTTTTTTCTTATGAATTCATTTTTTTTTCCTTGCCATGACTGGCCTGTGTCATGGCTAAAATATTATCAAAACAGACTGGATTTACTGGCTCTCAGGGGCACAAAAGGTAGTGAAAACCTAGATTGCAAATCCATCTCTGGGTAGTTTCATTTTTCTTGAAAGAACAAAAGAAGCAGCACACTAAGAAATTATATGAATCAATATTAAAAACAGAGGATAATATAACAGATTATTGCTCTAAATTTAAATTATTTTTAAAAAGACAAGAAACGGGCATAGACAGAAACATCTCAAGTTCAAGGAGCTGAGACTAACTCTCAATATACTACTACTTCTTCCTTTTTTTTACTATAAGCCAAATTTCCTTTGGAAATTTATTGACATTTAAAATGTTTGTTTTTAACTCATGACAAAGAGATGAAATCTTTTTATAAGTTTTTTTCTTCCAACAACAGAAGTTCTTTAAATTTCTTGTTCTATCATTCTATCTAAATATACTCAAAGTACTATAATCTTAAATATTATTATTTAATACTCTTTCCTAAAGGAACAAAGAAAAACAAAATCCAAAGATCTTTTTAAAAAGTCTATATTATTCAAATAAGTTTGCTTCAAAAAATTGGCAATACTGATTTTTTATTTGTAGTACTATTTTAGGAAAAAATGTCAAAATGATATTTTGGACTTTGCAAGTCCTGTTTTGGGTAGAAATGTCAAAAACTTAATTTTATGTATGTTAAAACTTGAAATGGCCATTAGACATTCAAAAGAAGATGTTTAAAAGGAATATTTTATAAATGTAGGATTCATGGGATGTGGATTTTATTTGAGTGTGGAATAAGAGAAAGGTGAGGATAAAGTCTGGGTTTAACATGACTCCCAGTCCTGGATGAGCAATTGTGTGGAAAACAGTGCCATTCATTGAGATGAAACTACTAAAGCAATGGTTTTCAACCTTGCCTACACATAAGCATCACCTGCGGAACTTTAAAAAAATACGAATTCCTGAAATCCAACCTCAGAGATTCTTATTCAGTTGAAATGGGTTTGGGTCTACAATAGTATTTAAAAATTGCTCTCCTGGTGATTCTAATATGAAACCACCTTTGAATACCCTGATACTAAAATTCATTCTTGTGCTTCCTAACTTTCAGATTGCCTGAACCTTTTAGGGGCACCTGAAATATTTTTAAAATCTCAATGTCTAGGTACCCCAGATCAATTACATCAACATTTCTGAAAGTCAGACTCAGAATTTTATTTTTATTTTATGAGACAGAGTCTCTTTCTTCCTCTGTTGCCCAGGCTGGAGTGCTGTGGCACAATCTTGGCCCACTGCAACCTCTGCCTCCTGGATTCAAGTGATTCTCCTGCCTCAGCCTTCCTAGTGGCTGGGATTACAGGCGTGCACCACCATGCCAGGCTTAATTTTGTATTTTTAGTAGAGATGGGGTTTCACCACGCTGGCCAGGCTGGTCTCAAACTCTTGACCTCAGGTGATCCTGTCGTCTCGGCCTCCCAAAGGTACTGCTGGGATTACAGGCCTGAACCACTGCACCCAGCCCAGTCTCAGAATTTTAAATTTCCTCAAGTGATTCTCATGAGTGTCAGGGCTGGGGAATCATGATACTAAAGAAAGAATAGTTCAGGTGGAGAAGCTGCTGTTTGACAGAAACGTGGTATTTGAGGTGGATCTGGAACACCATTCTGGAAGGACTTAGTAGGTTCTTTTTTTTTTTTTTTTTTTGAGACGGAGTCTCGCTCTTTCGCCCAGGCTGGACTGCAGTGGCGCTATCTTGGCTCACTGCAAGCTCCGCCTCCCGGGTTCACGCCATTCTCCTGCCTCAGCCTCCCAAGTAGCTGGGACTACTGGCGCCCGCTACCACGCCCGGCTAATTTTTTTTTTTTTTTTTTTTTTGTATTTTTAGTAGAGACGGGGTTTCACCGTGTTAGCCAGGATGGTCTTGACCTCCTGACCTCGTGATCCACCCGCCTCAGCCTCCCAAAGTGCTGGGATTACAGGCGTGAGCCACCGCGCCCAGCCATTAGTAGGTTCTTAAATGTGAATCTGATGTTATACAGCAAAAGTCTGTACGGGCTACAGAAACATAATGTGTAATAATGGAACCCTGCAAGAGGAGGGAGTCATGAGGGTGCTTACAAAGAAGGACGAAAAAGGAGCAAAGAGCAGAAGGTTGGGAAACAGTGGCCTTTGAGAGGAAGGAAGGATAAAAAGAACCAGAACTGAAAACTGAGAAAAATATAGAAATGGATTTCGAAAGAATGATGTCATAGAAAGCAAGGCTTTTAAAGAAAAGTTGAGACTCAGTATGAAAAAATAATACAAAAACTAAAAATAATTAACTGGACTTGGAAATCAAGGGAGATATTAGTGCCCTTCAAAAGAACTGTTTTAGGGGAGAAGTAGAAGTAGAAAGTATTTGGAGTACATGAGAGAGGAATGAGAAACCATTGTCTGAGTTAGTAGAACAGTGGTTTCAAAATACGGCTGCGTATAAGAATCACATGGGAAGGGCCGGGCACGGTGGCTCACGCCTGTAATCCCAGCACTTTGGGAGGCCGAGGCGGGCGGATCAAGAGGTCAGGAGATTGCGACCGTCCTGGCTAACACGGTGAAACCCGTCTCTACTAAAAAATACAAAAAATTAGCCGGGCATAGTGGCGGGCGCCTGTAGTCCCACCTACTCAGAAGGCTGAGGCAGGAGAACGGCGTGAACCCGGGAGGTGGAGCTTGCAGTGAGCCGAGATCGCGCCACTGCACTCCAGCCTGGGCGACAGAGCGAGACTCCGTCTCAAAAAAAAAAAAAAAAAAAAAAAAAAGAATCCCATCCCATGGGAAGTTTAAAAACAAACAAACAAAAAACAAAAGAGAAAACCACAACAACAACAAAATTATGCCTGTCACTGTACCCTAGACCAACGGAATCAGAATTTCTTGAGGAGGGAAAAGGACATCAGTGTGGCTCAAAACCTCCCCAAGGTGACTCTAATGTGCAGCCAGATTTGAAAAACATTTCATAGAATATTCTTTTCAGAAACTTGACTGAAAATGAAAGGCGAGGATTTAGGGTAGTTTCTACTCGGAGGTGGAAATTGTGAGAGAAAAATAAGAGACTTGACTGTAAGAACTATGACAGAGCCACCGTGTCTGAACATTAGTTGAAAATACTTGAGATCAGAATTCAGGTTATGGTAGAAATGAAAGTATAGAAATCAAAGTCACTGGTGGAAAAATCCCCTCTAAAAAGGGAACGGTGAAAAGCTCATCCTGTGGGCCTATAGAAAAAGATGTGAAAATGAGTAAAATTCTAATTCGGCTGCTTTTCTTTTTATTTGTTATATAAAGAGATACAGACAGGACATTGAAGGAATCTTACTAATAACCACAATTTCCCATATGATTATATTCACCCTTTGCATTTGTAGCGGTGGAAATATGAGGGACTTGAGGTGCTTTGTATCCATTTGGAATAACTTATGTGGGAAATGGAAAAGGTGACTGATAAAGATCATGTTTAACTAGTTCATATAGACCAGATGAGGTTTAGAGTGTCATAATCTACACAAATACGTGGTTTCCTCTAATGTCATTCTGATATCAAGATACAGAAAGAGAAAAAAAATTGGTACAGTGATCCAGTACTTGTGATCATCATGGAAGGTAGAACATAAATGAAGAGATTTAAACACTAAGAATGTGGGCATGAAATTTCTGTTTTAAATGGTCCATCATTTGTTTAGATGAAAGAAAAACTATGGGGGGTGCTTATAAACTGAGATAAAAAGGGAAGAATCTGAATCTTTCAATTGTACAAAAAACAGATAGATACAGAAGTACAATCTTCTTTTAGTATTTGTGAAGTATTGGTTTCAAGACCCCTCAGATATCGAAATCTGCAGATGCTCTAGTCCCTGATTAAAAATGGTATAGTATTTACATAAAACTCACACACATCCTCCTATATAATTTAAATAAACTCTAGATTACTTATCATGCCTAATACAATGTAAATGCTCTGTAAATAGTTGTTATGCTGTATTTTTGTATTATTTTTATTGTTGTATTGCTATTTTTATTGTTTTTTTCTCAAATATTTTCAATCTGTGTCCCTTTGAGTCCATGGATATAGAATCCACAGATAGGAAAGACCCAGTGTAGCAAAGAGGTGAGCAGGTAAAATATTAAATTAATTTTACTAACAGTCTTTTAGAGATTGAAGCTTTAAATTTGAAATAGTTTGGGATAAAGAATACTCCAAGAATGTCTAGGAACACCATAATCCAAGATAATCATTCTAGGATGTAAAGTATGAGAGAAAATTAATACATTTAAACCGAAGAATTTAGAATTTATATTACTGTACACTTATAAACCTAGATACTATTCATGATAAAAGCATAATTCACTGTGAAAAGAAATAGTAAATGATCAATGAGTGGGGCAGTGAGGGAAGGAGAGAGAGAGGAGATAGGAGGCAGGGGAATGTGAATAATCTGGGTTCTTGATGTTTCAGCTTCTGATAGCACCACAGCTTCCTGCAATGGATTATATACTGCCCCTAGAAAGATCAAAAATCACTGGGAGAAGCCATCTTTGGTTAGATCTATCTTTTTAAGTTTAGAAATATCCATAAAATACTGTTTTTCTCATGGAATAACAGTAACTCAAAGCAACTCTGAATTTCTAATTCAAAACTACTCTAGGTTTCCAGCAATAAGAAAAGGTGTTTTTTTGTTTTTTTCCCCGTCCCACGTATGTATGAGTTTCACTGATGGGAGATTACAGGGCTTGATTAAGTAGGAGATTTTGATAATATATCTTAAGGTATTAGAGTGATATGAATTTCACTAGAAATATTGATAGTTTTGTTTTATTTTATTTTATTTTTTGAGAATGAGTCTCTGTCTGTTACCCAGGCTGGAGTGCAATGGTGCAGTCTCGGCTCACTGCAACCTCTGCCTCCTGGGTTCAAGCAATTCTCCTGCCTCAGCCTCCCGAGTAGCTGGGACTACAGGTGCACACCACCATGTCTGCCTTATTTTTGTATTTTTACTAGAGACGGGGTTTCACCATGTTAGCTAGGCTGGTCTCGAACTCCTAACCTCAGGTAATCCACCTGCCTCGGCTTCCCAAAGTGTTGGGATTACAGGTGTGAGGCACAATGCCCGAACGATAGTTTTATAAAACCTGGATTTAAGGCAGAATTTAGAAACAGAAACTCTAATAGGAAAACCTTTTTCTATATTATTATTATTATTTTTAATGTAAAAGTAAACTTTAGTGTCGAAAATGCAAACTTGGGGAGGGCAGAAAGATCACACATAAGGCTGCCACCTCACACCTGGAGGGTTGCATCGTGGTTGGGCAGAGGCACTCCTCACTTCCCAGGGGCTGCGTATGAATCACAATGTAGGGGATAAAGCGGTTAGATAAAAATCTTGAAAGTAAAAGTGGATAAGAGAAAAATGCAAAGGAGTTTAGAGTGATGTGTGAAAGAATTCAATAATAGATTATCTTTTACAAACAAGAATGAAGATAAAAATATGGTTTCAAAATACCATAAACAACGTACGGATTTGTGTAACAGGTTATTGTATATGATAGTTGAAAGAAAATAATGATTTGAGATGGGAGGAAATCATTTTTATTAAGACATAATAACTTTGAATTTAATGGCTGAACATTTATGTGGCTTTTAAAGAGTCAGTGCATTTCCAAAGTGGTACAGCAATATATGGAAAATGCCAGTACTGGAGATGTTGCATGCCATCCATGCAGAAGTGGACATTCAAATCTTAAGAATGGATGAGATCTCTCAAAAGGCAATTATAAATGATGACAGTAAGAGAACTGAAGAACGTTGAACCATGGTATTAAGGGCACATGTAGCATGGCGTGACGAGAGAACATAGTCTTAGAAATCAGACTGAATTGTGTTTGTATTGTGGCTTCAGGATTTACTATCTTATCTTGGGCTTTCCTATTAAATGGACAATTTCATTGTATTCTTATTATAAATTAGAAATAATAACTTTCTAACAGGATTGTGGAAGTGTGTGTGTGTGTTTATGTGTACACACAGAGAGAATATAAATAATTATTAAATAAACATTTCTATTTTATGGTAGATCGTAAATAGAAACTAAGTCAAAAGTTAAGTCAAAGTAGTCAAGAAGATTATAAGGTATAAGGAAAATTCAGTATTTTAGAAACCGAGAGAGGGTTTTAATGACAATGGTTGGTCAGCAGTTTCAAAAACCATTAAGAAAAATTGCTCCTAGAAGATAAGAGAATGAGTCTATCCCTTACAATAAGCCTAGGATCACATTTCTTAAATTATTCCTCTCAAAATTGAAACATAAAGTACTTCTATGCATATTGTCTTATTTGCCTTATGTAAAAGAAAAAAGGAAGCAAATGGTTTCCAAATGTTTAAAAACATATATTGTCTCTCTCCCCATTCTTCCCTCTCCCCTCTCTCATCTCTCTTTTCTCCCCTTTTCCTCTCCTCCCACTGTATTTCTCCACATTTTCTAGACCTATCAGTTTTACAATAGAGAAGTTGCATTTGAAGATGTATTAGAATCTTCCCAAACGGGATTGGTCGTGAGAAAAACTAATATATGGGATCCCTAATGCTGAACCAATTAAATTTGTGGTTTTGGCATAGCAAGATTTATTGACTGATCAATGCCATGTGTATGGTGGATATGCTTGCCTTGTCTCACAGAAAGGCAAACAAGCAGCCCATTATATTAAAGCATGTGGATTACGTTTTAGTCCCTATGGAAAAATAATATAACTTCCTTATTCTTACTCCAATCTTTAAGGATCTCAAGAGAAAAATAATTGCATAATTCATCGTCTTTTGTGATTTGAGACATACATGATCATGTTATTGGCAGAAAATGAATTGGTTTTATACATTTTATTGATAAGTGTTCCCAAACGTTTGTAATTAGTTGGCCATATTCTTGTTTCTCTATCTTCAGAAGAACTGGTTATTATGATTACTTTTTATGAAGGTGGTAATTACAAAATAGAATTGAGCTGAATGAAATTAAAGAGAAACTGAAAAAAGAAATTCCCTGCCAGGAAATAATTTCATTTGAACGAGTACAAAGTTCTTTGCAATTCTTACTTAGCTGAAGTGTATTTCTAGTTGTGTTTCCAGATTTATATCATTATGAAAATAGCCACTTCCTAGGTTCTCATTTTTCATATACAAACAATGTTCACTAGCAGTAAATTTCTTCCCTGGATTCAATTTCTGAATATTCACAAGGTGAAAATTGTGTTCACCTCTTTTCAGATGGAGATTCTCTGAACTGTAATTGGGTGACTATTTCATAGATGAAATCTCAGCACGTATCACTTTAAAATGATATAGTGTAAAAGGGCCCAAATTGTGTGTGTACACCTGGATGTGTGTGTGTCAGCATGACGTGGAATCTATGTGGATAGATAAATATCTAAAATAATAGGTATGTAGATAGCATGATGTTCCAATAATTACCAATAAGATCATGTCTTCAGTGGAGAGTAATACATACCAAATTTTTAAATCTTTAATTTTTTTCATATCTGATTATTTCTACTATGATCTCTTTTTTATCAGAGGAGTTACTAAAACTATGAGTAGATAAGAATACATTTGAATTTTTATGTGTATGATAACTTTAAAATTTTGCCTACTTTATAGATTTCTCAGTTGGACTTACATTAAATCTCTATTTTTGTTTTTAACTTGGAATAAATTATCTAAGACACTAATTACTAAATTGTCAGTATTTATAATGTAAACATTTTAAATCCCCTAAATGTCTACTACAGAAAGAATAAATGGTGATGTGTCTGTGTTATGGAATACCCTGAAAACCATGGAAAATAATAATAAAGCTCTACGTTCATTGACATGGAAGGAATAAATTAATAAATTGTTTCACTGAATGAAAATCATCCAAGTTGTGTAAATAAAAATATGTACCTGTAGGGCTGCAACAGTATGCAACTCAAGCAAGTATATAATTCAGCAGTGCTATTAGGTATGCATTATAGATATTTCTGCATACAAATATACAGTGAAGAGAAATAATTCATATTTTAAAAATGTATATATGTTTATACATATGTAGAAAAAGTTATGAAAGTAAATACTGCAAATTACTAACAGTGGAAACTCTTTTAATAGGTAGGTGTGAGGTTAATTTTGCTTTTTATTTTGCGTTACACACTTTCGTATTGACTGAATTTTAAAATTAGATTTGCTTTACCTTTTTTTCCTAAAAATATAACTATAATTGAAAACCTAGTTTCTGAATTGTACATTCTGTTTAACTCATGTTCTTTCTCTTTAATCATCAGTTTCTTCACTGACATCACAAAAATACTAGGAATTTTCCAATTGAAACAAAAAACCTAAAAATCAGGAAAATAAAGAAGTATTTTAGAACCAAACCTTCTCTTAGTGTCATCACTCTTTATTCCAGGCCTCGAAATGAAATGGCACAGACTGTTTTTGTCTCCTCTCCCGAAGATGCTTGGTTTATTCAGTAATCACCTCCCAACTTTGCAATGGCCCAGAAAGATAGCCTTTACTTTGCATACCTTCTAAAATACTAGCCTGATTCAAGTATTTATCATTCTTGAATTATAGCTAGTAACTTCTTCACTGGTTTCCTTGCCTGTAATTTCTTACCTTTGCAGTCATCCCCAGATATTGCCATACGGCTATCTTCCTAATGCAGAGATCAAATCATGTTGTTATACTTAAAATATTTTTGGCTCTATCATCCACAGAGTAAGTTTCAGATTTCCAGACATAGCATCATGACCTTTCATGTCCTATTGCCAGATTGCTCTTTTAGCATCACTTCAAACTTCACTGTTTTTTTTTAATATATATATAACTTTTAAGTTAAGGGATAAAGGTGCAGATTTGTTACATAGGTACACTTGTGTCATGGGGATGTGTTGTACAGATTATTTCATCACCCAGTTGTTAAGCCTAATACTCATTAATTATTTTTCCTGATCCTCTCCCTCCTCCCAACTTCTGCACTCCAGAAGGCCCTGGTTTGTGTGTTGTTCCCATCTACATGTCCATGTGTTCTTATCAATACCTCCCACTTAATAGTGAGAACTCCAAGTGTCCATAAATATAATATACCATTTTATGCCTTTAAGTCTTGTTGTTTACATCTCTTATTCTTCTAGTCTTTCAAGGCCCACCACAAATATCATGCTTATATCTGACAATGGAAAGAAATATTCCTGCTCTCCTAGGGCACTTTGCTTTACCTATATTACAAATCTTATTTCATTTATACTTACTTTAGTTAGCTTTCATTTGTTTCACTCAGCACAAAATAATGTAGTCTTGAAATCAGGACCCACTTTCGATTGATCTCTGACCTAGAGTCCTTATCTGAATTCAATATATTTGTTTGCCTTGCTTTTAACCAAATATATTTGGAATCCGTTTATCCATACACTTATGAGGAAACAGTATTGAAAAGGTTGCTATCCATTAATATGGCTGTGGAAAAAAAATGTCACCTTAGTTCTATTTTAAGATAGGAAAAAGTCTTATCTATTTTTAGTAGATTTGATAATACTCGTATGAGTTTAAATCTTACTGATGCTGTACAGTTGTGCTATCCAATATGGTAGCCAATAGACGCATGAGGTTATTTACATTTGTATTTAAATTAATCAAAATAAAATAAAAGTTCCATAAATATACCATTGTATGCCTTTAATTCTTGTTCCAAGGTTTCAGTATATTATAGAAATTTTTATTGTCACAGAATTTTCCATTTAAAAGCTCTGCTCTAAAGTTTAAACTCAAAATATAAATTACTCCTGTGCTAACTTGGTAAAATCCTGATACAGAAATGGCACAGTTTACAGTAGATTTTTTGCATTGTTTTGATCTAAGTTGAATATAGTCACCAGGCAATTGTTACAGGGAGTCATCATTTCTTTTTTTTCTTTTTTTTTGAGACGGGGTCTCGTTCTGTTGCCAGGCTGCAGTGCCGTGGCGATCTTGACTCACTGCAACCTCCGACACTCCCAGATTCAAGCGATTCTCCTGTCTCAGCCTCCGGAGTAGCTGGGATTACAGGCACCTGCCACCACGCCTGGCTAATTTTTTTTGTATTTTTAGTAGAGACAGGGTTTTACCATGTTGGCCAGGATGGTCTCGATCTCCTGACCTCCTGATCCTCCCGCCTCGGCCTCCCGAACTGCTGGTATTACAGGCGTGAGCCACCACGCCCAGCCTCATCATTTCTTTAACACTTTAAAACTTATTCTAATGAACTCAGTTGATTGCATATACCCCTTTACCCATCCAGGTCATATGAATCACTGTAGTAGAATCAGCTACTCTGGGGGAAAAGAGGAGAAGAGGTTGTGCATGTTTGTGGAGTATGTATTATTAAACAAAAGTCCCAGTTCCCTGTGGTAGCAGATCTGACCATTCTGACCATCCTGTGGCTCAATTTTAGGAAATAATGTCTAAGAAGGAATCAAGAATGAATGGATGTACTGCACTGAAAATATAAATTTGTTCTCATCACTAGTGTGGATGTGTTCCATCCTTACTCAGTAATTGTATACAGTGTCATGCCTTCAAACCTTACATAATCGTCTGTACTTCATTCATTCTCATCCTTCAAGGTTCACCTTAAACTTTTTTTTTTCCTAGGTTTTCTCCACACTAGCTAGGAAGTTTGCATGTACAGAATGTAATGAAAAAATGAAATTTCTCTATGTAGGAATTCGACATTGTGTGTTGAATCCTGTGATAACAGCATTTCCTATGCAGACTCAATATATATTTGATCATCTAACATGAAAATTGAAACTGGCATCTGTTTGTAAACCACCACTTTGCTGGCTCAATTTTAGACCTGCAAAGGAATTTGCTGCCCTTTTGTTAACTAGATAAGCTATATATTTCACTTTGAAAAGACATGTCTCTGCAACTTTGATGGTGAGATACTGCCTCATAACATTCATTTTTCTCTATTAAGGTATTATAGTTTTGATTTAATAATTTTCAGCAAAGATTCATTTAACACTAGAGTGAATGAAAATCTAAAAGAGGATCAAATGGTTATTAGTGGAAACAGAATAACATTTACCAGTTGACCTTCTGTAATGGAGAGACTCCTCAGTGGGAAGAAATCTTTCATGTTGAAACTTTCCTGATAGAGAACTCTTTGCATATATAATCAATAAGGTATGGGCATAGCTTCATCTTTGGTATGAATAACAAAAAAGTTGTCATAGAAAGCTGTAGAATTAAAATTTATTTTTCAGAAGGAGTATTGTTTGCTTCTTTCAAAAGTGGAGGTAAAAATGATACAGGGGAAGGTACCCTCAAATAAATTAGTATAACCAAGTAATAGTTTTTCAGAAATAGATTAGAAAATATTCATCCCCCAAAATTAATATTTGCTAGTTACATTTATCAATTTCCTTTCTACAATGCTAATTTTAACATCACAATGCTTTCATTAGTGCATTATATAAAATATCAGGTATATGTAGATTGGTGTTGTTGAAATAAGGTTTTGTTGTTTAAAAATAAGATATCCATTCAATATACATGTATTAACACTAACCACAGCAAAAAATCAAAAAGAAAAATTAAGAGCACTTTTTTCGCTACTCCCCTTGAACACACTTATCTCTTATGCCTTAAATTAGATTGTATATAACAATTCTAATATATTGGTATCCATATAATTATAAAACTTAATTTTAATCAGGGAAGCAAATGAATATTCCTCATCATTTTAAACCTTTTTATTGTTATACCATTTCCTTTTTCCCTGTTTTTATGCTTTTGCATGTTTAACATAATATGAAACCTCAAAAGATATCTCTGGGCAACTTCTGAAGATTGCTATGTTAGCATTGCTAAACAAATGTATTCAAATGCATTTTCATGACTGAATATTATGCAAGTTCAGTGTTAACCTTTTCCTTGCTTCTTTGAAAATTGTTTTAGGATGTTTCTGAAAATAACATCATCCAGATTAAAATGATGAAAATACCCCAAAACATATAAGGCTCATAAAGAGTGTGGGATATAAGCGTGCCAGCTAATCTAGTTCTCATTCTCATAAAGGGCAATAGTGGCACTTAAGAGCCAGTATACCTATTCCTTTTCATTGTAATAAAACCATTCCTGAAAGTGACTTTGTCCAGAGCAAATGACTCTAACATGTTGTACTTCAGAGGTAGATTGTCATAACTCACTAAAGAAAGTGACCATTGTATATCTTAATAAAAAAATTACCTGTTTATTCAAGTATTTTTTTTTTCAAGCTGAAGATATTTTCTCCTGCCCTCCCAAAACTTAGCACAACGCTTCAGTAGAAAGGGGTATAATCTAACTGCTGTCATGGCCAACAAATGGAAAGGAATGCAGAAGAAATAAAGAAGTATGTGTTTTTTCTGTTCTAATAGAGAAACAAGTTAAATACATTAAATCATAAAAACAAAAACAAAAAACACCCTGACAATATAAAACACTGATGAAAAGTCTACTGGTTAAAAGTGAAAATTTTGAAAGCAGTAGTTGTATATAATCAGTGGATATGCCTTGCTTCTTTTCAAACAAGTGGTTTTTAAAGGTGTGTTGCATTATGCTCAAATGATATGTATTTATTTCGTAAATTATATAAGTCTTCTTAAGCTGAATCACTCAAATACAAAAACTTGGGCTTTATTTTAATGTTTTTGTAAAATGGTTTTTTCACATGGATTGCAAATATCATATAAACTGATGTTTAACATGAATATATTAAAGATTTCTTTGGATTATAATTATATGAAAGAGTTATACATTTGTATTCTCAAGACCTTTGTTATACATTGTATAATGACACTTTCTACCAAATATGAATGAGAAATAGTAAATAACTATTAAGGCAAAAGACCAGAAGAGGAAAACTATGAGGAAAGACGATATAAATATTCCTAGTTTTTAAATTAATTTTTAATTCTGTTCTTTCTGATGACTTAAAACAATGAGGATCTGCACACCTGTAGTCTGAATTCAGTGTTATCCTCTTTTGTTAAATTGAAAAGGAGGCAAGGATAGAAAAATCATTCACTGGCTAGAGAATGCTTCTGGTCAGGTCATGGATTCATGCTGTTTTCAGTATATAATTTCATTGTCAATTGAAACAAAGTGCTAATTGAGCACAATATTGATGGGTGGTTCAGAGGTGAGACTAGTATTGTCCTCTAAAAGGGATTAATAATAACCACTCCTGTTGCAGCTTCCACCAACATGTCTAGGAGAGGCATGCAGGCAATTATCTGTTCCTCAAAGACATTTCTCCTGGTGCATAAATTATCGGAGGCCTAGACTAGTGGCCCTATAGACCCAACCAATAGCTCTTACTGTCTCAAAGTGGTTTATATCATGAATGGCCTTTGTTCTGATTTGGTCAAAATCTTCATATATTTTGAAACTGTTATAATTTAAAGACTTCACAAAGGGACACAATACTAGTCTCTCATTACATTCAGTTCTGTAAAGGCATCTACTGTGTTACTGCTGGATAATAATAACCTTCAAATGATTCTATAATTTTAATATGTTCATCATCACAGATTTCAAACTTTGGTTTAGGTTTGCCTTCTGAAGCAGTACTGAATACATTGTTTCCATTTTGACAAGTCAAACAACCTTTCAGATATTTGGGGAAAACTAAGTTCTGTGGTTGATTGATAACTATAATTTTGGTACCCCATATTCTTCTTCATTTTGCATTGTCTTTTAACGTTTCCTTTGAGACCTTATCCCAATGCCGGGTGCTTCAGAGGAAGTTTTGTCAACCTCACCACTATTGATATTTCAGACCAGATAATTCTTGGTCATTGGGACGTGTCCTGTGTATTACAGACTGCTTATGAACATTCTTGGGAGTGTTTGTGGTGGTATGAAAATGTTGAGAAAACTATACTTCCCAATTTCCTGAGCAGTTGGGAGAAGCTACTTGATGCAACTCTGGCAAATGAGAAGCAAACAAGATACTAGCCGATGCCTCTGAGAAAGCTCTTTAAAGGATATAATCACTTCTTGTTTGTTCTTTCTCACTGAATCTTATTCCGTAAATGCATTGTCAAGTGATGTGACAACAGTGTTATGCTTCAAGCCTAAGCAAGACTCTAAGAATACTGGAGTGAGAGGATTCCACCAGTCTTGGTCCTTGAATCTTTCTTTGCTCATTCTGGCACTCAGTCCCCAGATATCTTGTTGGGGGAAGAATAGTGGCAGGAACTAACTTTTTTAATCTACTAGTTTTATTTTGTCTTCTATAAAGAAATTAAAATCTACATAATCTCTAACTAATAGTAATAGCTTTGCTTTAGGAAAAAAACAAGTGTCCATATTATAAATATCTCAAGCTTCTTCTTATGTTCAAGCTGTTTTCAAATGTATTTTTTTTCAGTCATTCCTATTTATCATTTCTCAACTACAATGGGCAAGGTACCCTACTAAGCTCCAGAGATAAAGATAAAAGAAACAATATTATTATTTCCTCAGAAAGTCTCTGAGGATAGTGAAGACAAAATTAGTGGAACTGCTAGTGTTTTGTGATAATTGTGTGTAAACTATCAGGAGAATAGGAGAATATTAGACAAGATAGGAAATGAATCTCAATAAAAAAGAAAATACAATAAAATGTCACTGTTAAATCATTTAAAACATATGATAAAGGCAGGAGGAGCTATTGCTGACAAATTCCTAATTTTATATCTGTTACCTCAGCATCATATATGAAGACATAAAACAAAACCTGAGTTTTAAATTTCCAAAACTATCTGTTGCCTATCCACATGATTTTTCTTTTACTGTGTCACAGACTAGTATATTTTCAAGTGCCTAGCTAGGCTCAATTTTATTTTTGTTTCAGTTTTATAGTATTTAATAACATCTTTTCTCCCCAAAGACCTTTGCTTAGAAACCAAGAGATACACAATGAGGAGCAAGTGTTGTGCTAAGTACCCCTCTGTGGCACGACCTGTGGGCATGCACCTGCCTTCCTCCCAGTGTGCTGATTGCATTCCTCTCACTCCCGTTGTCAGATTTGCTTCCTGAGCTCTAGACTTTGTCATTAGTTATGACTCATCAATTGTGGCATAATCATATCAATTCCAGCCCAGTGTCTTCTGTCCTCATTTAAATACAAATTTTTCTTCTATTGCCAAGCTATCAAATATGTTTCATTCACTGAGTCTTTGTAATAAAAGGTGAAACAGCACAGTCTGCACTCAACAGCCAGATTTTTTTTAAAAGGTTGTAACATTCGAATGATTTGCAGGCATTTTTCTAACACATTCTTTATTTTTGAAAACCTAACATCTATGACACCACATATGTATATCTGCTGATTGTAGTTAGCAGTCTCATTCAACACTTATTAAAAAACATGAAATTGTCAATCCTATCAAGTTGTTTTTTGGTTGTTTTAAACAGCTCTCAGCCATCTTGGAACTGACCCAGAGTGTAAAGGTCTTGAGGATTCTCTTCATCAGTATTACCTGAATACAAGCCTTCTGAAAGGAAAAAGAAACTCTAGCTTTTCAAACCAGAAAGTCTAGTAAAATTCAATATTGTAAATTGAATTTCTTTATTTTTAACAAAATATAATAAATGGTAGACAAATCCATTCTTACAGTTCTATTTACAATCCTCTTTCAGTTTTATCTACGTAAGCACCACCATGTAGGTTTATTATATTTTCTGTTCACATTTTTTTCCTACATTTTATTAGTTGCATTTCCCCCTACATTTTTATTTTAGTGCTGACCTTCAATTTCTCAGGGGTCAGTTCCTTGTACATAAATAATACTTCCATGTTTCATGAGGTCAGTTACCGCTCAAATCGGCACAAATGGCAGAAAATAAAAACAACAGAATCCAAAACTTCTGCCTGAGATTTTATCACATGTTATAATTTTAGAATTCCCACTTTGGTAGCTTTTACTTTATTGACAGATTGAAGTTTAACTGTAGCCAATTTTAAAAGACAGAAGTACGACTGAGTTATCATATAGTTCAGTGACAAATCATATTAACATTATATTTTGATATATCTCAATACAAATACAGATAATTCTCTGATATCTTAGACCCATCTCAGATACTTTTGTTTCTACATTAAAAATAGAAATAATTCAGGAAAATAAAATTGGTGAAAATTACAAAGCAAATATCCAATTTTTTCGAAAGAACAAACTTGTCTCTAATTGTCATTCAATGCAATTTCATTTTTGTCTTCTGTAGTTCTTTAAATATGTATTCAGGAAAAGTTTCCAGATCTGTAAAAAAATCTAGCAGCTTTCATGACTTCTTTTGGTTATTGGTATTTAACAGATAGTTATATTATGTTGTAAACTACAATTTTATTTCAGAAATTATAATATGAATTTCTATATTTTAATTAAAATATAATTCAGATATGTTTTCTCCCCTACCTCTTTCATCTGTAGGCTGTGGGAAGGGGTCATTCTTGGTTTCTTTTCCTTTTCAGCAGTTTTCACCTTACTTACCCCCTCTCCTATTGGATAACTGCTTCTACTGACCACTCTAGGACTGAAGTCTGGAAATAGGAGTGGTAATGAAGAGAGAAATTTCTTTCTTAACTGATAGTAAGTGATCATTTAATCTACAACTGTCAATTCCCATGAAACTTTTCACTTTCTAGAATAAGCTTGTCCAACCCACAGCCCAAAGGCCACACACAGTCCAGGACAGCTTTGAATGAGGCCCAATAGAAATTGGTAAACTTTTAAAAAACATTATGGGATTTTTTTTGGTGATTTTATTTTTCTTTAGCTTGTCAGCTATCGTTAGTGTTAGTGCATTTTATATGTGGCCCAAGACAATTCGTCTTCTTGCAGTGTGGCCCAGAGAAGCTAAACGATTGAACACCCCTGTTCTAGAAGTTCATTCCATGCAATGGAATCCCACCCAAGTGTTCTTAAAGCACACTTGGCTTCAAGCCATCTGCCATCTTTCATTGCTCATGTGGATCATTTCCGATCTGGGTTAAAAGGTAATGCATTCGTGGGCCCTGAAATCCAGAAAGTGAAACCCCAGGTCAGCTACTTAATTTGCAGGATCCCTTTTACAAACAAAAGAAAATATAATAGAATTTTTTTTCCTGTGGTTTCTTTCTTGACCTGTCATGATGTTTTTTCTTTGCTCTTAATTTCACTCTGCCTTGGAAACAGGGATGCTCACAGAGCGCTCAAAATTACTCAGGATATGACCCTGAGTCTCCTTGTATTTGGCCTCAGACCCCTGCTGGGTAAGAGGTGGTGTAGTGGTCTCTAGGTATCAGTGGGGGAGCAAGATGGCAAAAGGTGAGATCACATGTGAGCTGAGGCCCCATGCTCCTGGCTCATGCTCCATTGTCCCATCAGAGTTCACTTACAAAACACAAATTCAAAGATAAAATTATTAAGGATTTCAAGACAGTAACAGTAAAGTTTTGAAGGATCCACTGAATGTGGGTTCTTATACAACTACAGTGGTCACAAACCCATGAAATTGACAATCTAAATGTATTAGCAGCTGTTCTTTAATTTACCAGCAAAACAGCTTATCAGCCTTTGTCTTTTACTCTAATTCTGGAAAATAATTAATTAAACATCAGACTCCTGTGCCACTCCTAAATTTTGGAGATATTCATCGAGCTTTATAAATACTCTCCCCTCACCTGAGTGGAGAAACATTGCTACCCTCCCATCCAATGTGGCTATTCTAGAACACCTTTCCCAACTAAACTTTTCATGAGAAAGAAAATTCTTATTTTCCTCAATTCTGGTAATTATTTGTGGTGTTTTGCATTGTGTCATCTTGAGTAGGCAAAAAAGTACATTTTTTTTCAAGATGTCCTTCTCTGTATTATCCAAAAGAGGAACTTGTACGTAACTAGGAAAAAGGAAGTAAGGTGGTGGCCCTTATTCTCTGAAGGTCATCATAATCAAATGCAGTATCGGATCAATGCAGAGGTTCCAGCCGGCTTGCAACCTGTCCTAAATCTGCTCTATTCCACGTTCAACACCTTTGCCTACTGTTGCCTCTGTCCATCAACAGCAGCCCAAGACTCACCAAAAGATTCTTAGATGTGAATCAACAGAGGTTGTAGCTACACAAAATCACAGCCTCTCAAAGGGCATCCCAGGAGCAACCCTTACATAAAGAGATATGTTTGGTATTTCATATTGACTTGTTAGTGAGAGGTCCTCTGATTCTTGAACTTCCCTTTCAGACCTTGAGTTTCCCAGCTACTTGTACAGCTCTACACATCTAATTCCTTTAATAAGTCCTTTATCCCATAAAACACATTACTAACTTTGCTCCCCTGTCTGACTCCTGTCTGATATATCATTTTGTACTTGTATTTTGAGTTAAGCAAGTTCTTACCAAGTAATTTTAAAATCTACATCTTGTAATTCTATTGATTTATTTCCTATGGTCTTAGTCAAATTTTTGATTTTATAATCTAACTTTACTGGCACTAATTCTTTATGCTGTGGTCATTGTATCGGAGACAAAATCAAAGTGTCATACATCAAAAAAGCAATGTGGAAAGGAGTAAAGAAGTCCCTGGAAATACTAGGTGCTCATATTGTAAAAATTTACCTTGGGCAGTTATCCCTAGGCTTTCTACAAAAAACAGGTTGACATTAGATCTAGCAGTTTAATCTGTATTGTCTTTTATTTGTCACAAATGTGTGTCATGCCTATAATTCCCAGAAATTACACTGCTTCAGCCTCACTGATAGTAAACCTGTGTGCTCATAGCTCTTATGATATATATCTAATTAGTGCCTGCAGGGAAAATACCCCTAAACGTTCTGTCCTATGTTCTGATAACGGATTCTTTCACTGTTACTTCCATGAAAGACGTTTTCTTCTCTTACAATAAGAAGACCAGGATATTCTGCCTCACTATCAGTTTGTGTAGAGGTTGATCTGTTCTCCATTTTAGAAAATCAGCAGTTGGACCAATATTGCTTCTGAAACTGTGATATATGCACTTTGCATTTTATAATTTTATTCATTCTGAGAACATCAGACATGAAGATTTTGCTTCATCATATATTCCCTGACTTTCTCCCCATTTTTTTTTTATTCCTTCCTTCAGCTTGACTCAGGCTATGCACACTCTGGGCTTTGAAGATATGGCCTAGCTTTGGTCTCTGGGGACTGGTTGTGCTGTGCCAAACATTTCTTGTGCCATGGTCCCTCTTTCCAGAATAACTTGTTTTTACTTTTATTATTGGAAGTGATTGTGCAGAATCGATATAATTTCCTGATTAAATGTTTGGTAAGATTTAGCAGTGAACTTATCTAGCCCTGGTGCTTTCTATTTAGCAGGGTATTAATTATTAATTCAGTTTCTTTAATAGATAAAGGCCTGTTCAGATTATCTATTTCTCCTCATGTGAGTTTTGGTTGATTGTGTCCTTCAAGGAATTGGTACATTTCACCCTCGTCATTAAATTTTTGTGCATAAAGTTGTTCATAATATTCCTTTACTATCCTTTAATGTACATGGGATCACTAATGATGTCCTCTCTTTCATTTCTGGTATTAATAATTTATGTCATCTCTGTTTGTTTTAGTTAATCTTGATAGAAGTTTATCAATATTATTGATGTTTTCAAATAACTAGCTTTTTTCTTTCATCAGTTTTTTTCTATTTATTTTTTGGTTTTAATTTTATTGATTTCTAATTCAACACAATTTTGAAAATGCATAAAGGAAAGCACAGTATTATAAAAGGTACCAATTCTGTTGAAACATACTTAAATATTTTTTAAATAATTTTTAAAATTATACTAAAAGGTTTTTTCTAATGCATTAATAAGACAACATGTATGAACTATAAGCAATAAATTTTATTTGTTAAAGGCAGATTAGTGTTAAGGTATTCTCTTTAATTTGAAGAAATTATTAAACCATGAGGTAAAATTTGATAAATCCTCATATATATCATGTTAGATATCTAAATGATTTATTTTTGTTGTTTCTTTATAATTTATTTTTATTGCTTGTCTGTTTACCAATGTTAAATATATTGATTTGTAAGGATTTACTCTTCCAAGTGTAACTAAGGTTTTCATAATTCACACCAGATGAAGGCAGGTGTCTCTCAAGAAAACTTCAAATTTTACAAGATTATTTGGTGAAACTCCAACTAGAGTAATTTTTTTCTGCTAAGATTTAAAATGGAAATTCTTAATATTTTGCATCTTGGAAGAGTAATTTCTAAAACCTCAGTGTGATTTTCAGCTTCTGATTAGGATGTAGAAAGGTGAAAAGAATGATGCTCCCACCCTTAAGGTGAGAAATATTTGAATTATCTACAAAGTCATAAGTTGTTTTCAGCCCATCAGAGATGAAGTTGCATGGCAACCAAGTAAACTGATTCCAGAGAGGGACAAGCCCTCAAGGATGGAAAGGACACAAAATGAGTTTCATCTTTGACCAATCAAAAAATGAAGAGGAAGTCACCATATAATCATATAAGAAATCAGCTAAACTTTAATAAATTCTTAAAGGCTAAATGTGGGTAAATTGTAAGTTTAGAATAGCAGGAGGCCTCAGGCACAAGAAATGGTCATTTCTTAAACTCTTTTACACGGAACTTTGTCTGTTGAAGGGAAAGACTGGGAACTGGGCAGAAGATGAGAGAGACCCTGCTGCATAGTGCAGGCTTCGGGTAATAATCAGTTGCTGCTGGGGGACTGGCAAAAAGCCTTGCCCACTACCCCAGAACATTCTTTCTTAGGAAGCAAAGCTTTAAGCCACTATAGAAGAGACAGCACAACTGTCATTTCCACTAATCACAGGCAAAGATGCACTGAGGCTTGGGAACAAGTGGAAGAATGCATCCTATATCTTTGGAAGAGTGCTAGGAAACAGTTGTGGCTAAGATTCTATACCAATAACAAGAAGAAGCCTTTAACTACTATAGAGTGGTAAATATTTCCACCCAAAACCAACCACAGATCCAAGACAGAGTTTCATTGTCATAGATGAGTTGGACACAATGCAAGAACACTAAGAATGCCCCATTTTGAGAAAAAAAAAAAATTCAGCTTAATTCAATGACAGTAGTCTAAAACCAACATAACAAAAAGACAAAAAGGAATGAAAACTTGGACTTTTTTCACACAGGACATACCTAAGATTGAATGAGGCTGAGACAGGGCAACATAAAACACCCCACTTTTTACCCCTATGCCAAGCCTGATACCAAATAATAAGCATCAGCTGTCTACGTATTGAGTAAGGGAAAGAGGAAAGACAGAGAACACCTCGGCGGTGCAGGAAGGTAAGGATGCTGAAAGCTGAGAGGGGAACAGAGGTACTAAACAAAATCCTCCAGCACCCCAGGACCCACCTTAAACCCAGCCAACATCAGCCATTCCTATAGGAATTTGAAGCCTGTGTGGACTGAAGGTAATGATAATCACGATAAAATCTATATCTAGCTCAAACCCCTGACTAAAACAGTTTGCTGTCTCATACAAATTGTCGGACAAAATGATGTGCTCTTTTGCTGGCATAAATATTATTTTAAGAGTAATTACTGCTACCTACTTGATTTTGGAATAAAACATATGCTAGCCTTAGCTAGGCAATTTGTTTTTCCATATTCAGAAGTAGCATAATAAATAACAGATTCTTAAAATTCTGATAGAATTTACTTATCTGAGGATTTGAAGGAATGATCTTTAATAGACTAAGAAATAAATATTGAAATGATTGTTAGATACTTCCTGTAAAATCCTATATTCTTTATCTTTAGTTCCTATTATTAATACGTCTTAGTTGTTACAGTCCTTACATCTTTCCATCTCTAGCATTCACATTTATTACAATGAAGCTATTTTAATACTTAAAATTTTTTAATTGTGCATATTACACAGTCTCTCTTATTGTCTTGGTTAACCTTCCACAGGTTTCTGTATCCTAAATGTTTTCTCAAAAACTAACTTTTGGTTAGATTAACATTCTTTGTTGTTGCTTTAAAGATTTTTGTTCATTAACTATTTCTATTGGGTTTCCTCCACTGCTCTTTCTCCAATTTTTAATTGAAAAATAGAGCTCGTATAATTTTAATCTTTAATAATAAATGTATTTCAATGTACATATTTTTACCTTAAATTATATTATGTCATGTTGTCATGTAAATATTGCCCCTCTAGCTTTTTAGTATTTAAGCCTGGTGTGTTATAAAATAATTTTAATGTTAGTAGTTATATACATATATATTTTCTTTTAAATTTTAACTTATGTCAACAACATGTTTTGGCTCTTATTAAAAAATTTATAAAAGTCAGGATCCTTTAATTACTGCTTTTAACTTATTTGCATTTATTGTCATTATTGTTACATTTAACTTAGTTCGGCCAATTTACATCATATTATACATTTACTCACATTTTTAGTTTGTTTCCTTTCCCCATTTCTTCTATTGTTTGTCTATAGAATAGCTCACTATATTAGTTTAACAAGTATTTAAATTTATCTCTGTGGTAATTAACTTAACATTTTAAATAAGAAAATAAATATTACTTTCTTAAACTATTGATATCTGTATATTGTATCTAAAGATACATTTGCTTTGTCATAGTCATATGTTTCTTAGATTTCAATTTCATCTTTCTCATTATATAGATAATTTCTATAATTTCAATTCTGAATTGCTTTTGTTTTAAAATTTGCATTCTCTTTATTTTTTTCCTTGTTTTTCTCTTTTCTCTAAACTATAAACTGACTCTCTACTCAACTCTCTTCTTATGAAAATTGTATAAAATATGCATGGAGGTATCAAAAATATTCCAAGGCATTAAAGATTACAGGGCTAAAATACCGAAGAAAACAGCACTTCAGAGAATTGAGAACAATATGGACTATCCCTTGACCCATGAAAGATTTTCTCACATGTATGTGGCTATTGATAGACGAAAAACCTAAGCAGAAATATTCATAGTCTTATAGTTTTAAGAGAATAAAATATATGGCTCAAGACTTATCAATGAGAAAGGCCGATTTATACACCCCAGGCTTCATTTGACACTTCAAAGGTTTAGGAATATTAATGGAAATAAATAGATTATAATTCACAATAATTGCAGTTTGGTCTCAAACCAGCTTAATCACTGATTATATGAATATGAACTGTAACACACCTTAGATAACCCTCCAAAAAACAGAGTTAGAGTTAACCAGAATTAACTATTGGCTGCAATTTCATTAGAATATTAGAAATATTAAGGGCAAAAGCCACATTTAAATAGGTAAACTTAACATTTTTCAAAAATGTTGGAAGCCAGGCATGGTGGCTCATGCCTGTAATCCCAGCACTTTGGGAGGCTGAGGTGGGCGGATCGCCTGAGGTCAGGAGTTCCAGACCAGCCTGACCAACATGGTGAAACCCCGTCTCTACTAAAATACAAAAATCAGCTGAGCGTAGTGGTGGGCACCTGTAATCTCAGCTACTTGGGGGTTGAGGTGGGAGAATTGCTTGAACCCAGGAGGCAGAGGTTGCAGTGAGCCGAGATCGTGCCACTGCACTCCAGCCTGGGCAACAAGAGTGAGACTCTCTCAAAAAAAAATAAATAAATAAAAAATAAAAAAAAAGATGGAAAAACTGTAAGTCACAGTCTCAGGAAGTGCCAGAGTGAAGCATGATAAATATGGAGACAACTACATAGCTCATATTAGAGAATTAACGACAAAGAGACTATCTCAAAAATAGTTCTAGGAAAAAGCATATTACCTTCAAAAAGTGGCAATATGACTTAGGGATGACTTCTCAAATGGAAGCCAGCTGGTAACTAGAATTTTATTCCTAATAAAATATTATGGAATATGAGAAAAAAATAAATTCATGTTCAGGAAAACAAAAAATAAGGGAACTATCTATATCATTTATACATTACACCAAATGAAATAATAATGTCTTTCAAGCAGAAGAAAAATTATTTTACATGTAAATGTAGAAATTTAGAAATGAAATCAAGAAAAGAAAGGACAAAACATCTGGATAAATCTAAATAAATAGTGACTATATAAATAAAATCCATCATATAAAATTTAAAATAAATATCAACAAAACTACCTAACAAAATATCAAAAGTATTATAAGATCTTCATAGTCTAAGAAAAGTAATGAAAATTTTACTTTATACTCAGACACTAATAAGTCAAGGAATCATGAAATAATATCTAGGGCAAAATCAAAAGATACTTAAACTTATAGGAGATTATAAGGGCATATTGGAGAAAAAAATGCTTAATTGAGAAAAAAGGCAAGAAAGAGCAAGTCGAAAATACAACAGATGGAAAAATAGCAAAGTGGTAGACCACAATCAAAATATCTTGAGCTAAATATAAATGATTTTCATACTTCGGCTAATAAAAATATCTAAAATGAATTTTAAAAGTAATTGAATGTGTTTTATTAAAAATAAGAACTGAGGAAGTCTGAAAAAAAAATGTAAAAATGGTCTGTTAGGCTGACATAACCAAAAGAAAGCTGAGATAGATGTACTAACATCAGATGAAATAAATTTAGTGGCAAGAAGCAGTACTAAGACAAAAGAATACCTTTCAAAATGATAAAATGAGCAGTATACCATGATGTGACAATTTAAAATTTGTATTAATGTAATAATGGGAGAAATATAATGCATCCATATCATACTGGGGACTTTTGCCCACTTTTCTTACACGGTTGGAAGAAGTAGAAAAAAATGTAATTAAGAATAATAAAGAATTAGATATCTCTATTAGCAAATTTGATCTAATTGATATATATAGCATAATATTAAACTCGATAAACTTAAAATTGAATATGTAATGTGAATGCACATTTAATATTTATTCAAATGCTCTATATTGTGTCATAGATCAAGCCGTGACAAATTTTCATAATTGAAAATAGAAATAATACATTTTCTGACATCAGTTAAACTGTTAGAAATCATTTACAAAAGGACAACTTAATCCACAAATATTTTAAAATCAAGCAACATATTCCTAAATAATTCACAAGTCACAAAATTAGTCTCAATGGAAATTAGAAAATATTTTAAGAAAATGAGAATAAGCCGGGCGCGGTGGCTCACGCCTGTAATCCCAGCACTTTGGGAGGCCGAGGCGGGTGATCACGAGGTCAGCAGATCGAGACCATCCTGGCGAACACGGTGAAACCCCGTCTCTACTAAAAATACAAAAAATTAGCTGGGCGTGGTGGCGGGCGCTTGTAGTCCCAGCTACTCGGGAAGCTGAGGCAGGAGAATGGCGTGAACCCAGGGGGGCGGAGCTTGCAGTGAGCCGAGATCGCGCCACTGCACTCCAGCCTGGGGGACGGAGTGAAACTCCGTCTTCAAAAGAAAAAAAAAAGAAAGAAAAAGAAAGAAAATGAGAATAAATGTATGACATATTGAAACTCAAGAAAATGGATATCCTTGGTTACACAAAGTCATACAGATGGTAAAATGGTCATTGGAGACTCAGAGCGGGGAGGGTGACAGAGGAGTGAGGGATGGAAACTTGCCTAGTGGGTACAGGGTACACTATTCAGGTGATGACTATATTAAAAGCCCAGACTTCACCACAATACAATAAACCATGTAACCAAAAACCCTTTAGCCCTAAAGCTATTGATTTTTTTAAAAAAACTATAGCCTTAATGGTGATATTGCAAAGAATAAAAGATTAAATGCCAGTAGTCCAAATACCCACAGGTTGAAAATAGAACATGCTTAAAAATGGTACATTTAAAGAAGCTGAAAACCAAACAGTAAACCAAATCCAATGAAAATAGAAGTCATACAAGAGATATTAATGGAAAATAATACATTCAAAAAGAATCACATAATCAAGGGGATCAAAAAAAAGCCAAAAGTTTTTCCTTGTAATAATGTTAAAATAATCTTTTACAAAATTCAGAGACCAAAAAAAAGTGTGAGAGAGAGAGAGAGGGAGGGAGGGAGCACAGTAATATAAAAAGAAAAGGTATTACTACTGATCCTACAGAAGAAAGAAATTCAAAGTTATGAGCTACATTATTGCAGTACATATTTGACAGTTTCAATAAAATTTGTAAAAAACTTGAAAAAGTCACTTACCAAAACTGACATGAGAAGACATAAAAATCGGAATATTCCTGTAACTATTTTTAAAATCCATAATAAATAACTTTTTCTCATATATGTACAAAAGTTCTAGGTCCAGATGTTTCACTAGAGAATTCTCCAAAACATATTAACAGGAAAGAAAACTAACATTACTTACATATTTCCCCTATTGAAAAATTTCTCAGCTTGTTTTATAAGGTTACCGATAATTTTAACATAGAAATGTGACAAGGACATTAGAAGAAAAGACAGTAACAGTCCAGTCTCTCTTACAACCTAGCTAAAAATAATTTAAATATTATACATAAAACTCCGCAATATGTAAACCACAAACATAGGTTGGGCTTGTTACAGGAATGAACGTGTTTTAATATTCAAAATTTTAAAACTGCAGTGTGTTTTTCTTAACAGAATAAAAGCCAAAAATCATATGACATTCTCTATAACTAAAAAAAAAAAACTCCAAAGTCTATGAGTGACAAAGCCTATTACCTAAGTTGCAATGATGAAAAAATATTTAAATTATTAAAGGCTACCTCCAAAATGACTGTGATGAGCACCTCTTTAATGGCAAAGTGTTGAACATTTTCCTACTGACATTGGGAATGAGAAAATGATACTGACTATGATCAACTTTGTTCAACCTTACACCTGACAAAATTGCTAGTGAGAAAGTAAAGAAGAAATAAAAAAGATATAAGAACTTGAGGAGAAGTAATTAAGATAATTTTTCACCAAAAAAATGAACAATTTACAGATAAACTCTTATATGAATACATTTACAAGGTATGTGCCTATAAGATAATATTTGAAATCAATTGCATTTCTTTTTTAAGGAAAGAAGAACTTCTAAAATTGAAATTTGAAAAAAAAGATACCTCTAACAATAACATCAGAAACATCAATTATACAGGAATTAATTTACTAACTAGAATACAAAATCTGAAAATGAAAACCCAGAAAGCATTATGAGAAAATTGTTGAAAGTCGGGACATTAGTTACCTGGAAAAGGTAGGCAAGTATTATCCTAGGAATGAGTTTAGGAGAATTCTGGGTTGTCAGTAATAGCTAATTCCCTAACCTGCATGGTTATTTATGTTTATTGCAAAATAGTAGCTTACTTTTTTTAATTTTATAATATCCATTGAATGTTTATTATGATATACCCATTGAGATCTATGTTTATGATTTGTATATTTTTTAGGGGTGTGAAACAACAATAAAACGTTTATTTAAAAGAAAATTAATGAATAACAGTAAATT
Source organism: Homo sapiens (assembly GCF_000001405.40). Lineage (NCBI taxonomy): Eukaryota > Metazoa > Chordata > Mammalia > Primates > Hominidae > Homo > Homo sapiens. The sequence continues at coordinate 40,386,856 of NC_000009.12, read as the reverse complement.
TTATTATGACATCAGATGATTTGTACATCTGATAGTTCTTGACATATCATCTATATTTGAATTTCTTGTTTGAATAATTTCTCTAAAAATGTTTTTAGTACCCTGCTTTGGGTAGCAAACCACTTGAGGGAGGATGAGTCTGGGAATATTTTTTAAAATGCTCTCAATGTTCAACAGCATTTCATTTGGATATAAAATTCTACATTATAGCTGTTTTCCTTCTATAATTTTTTTATAAAATATATTTCCATAGGTTATTGGGGAACAGATGGTGTTTGATTACATGAGTAAGTTCTTTAGTGGTGATTTGTGAGATTTTGGTGCACCCATCACCCGAGCAGTATACGCTGCACCCTATTTGTAGTCTTTTATCCCTCACCCCCTTCCCACCTTTTCCCCTTGAGTCCCTAAAGTCCATTGTATAATTCTTATGCATTTTCATCCTCATAGCTTAGCTCCCATTTATGAGTGAAAACATACAATGTTTGATTTTCCATTCCTGAGTTACTTCACTTAGAATAATAGTCTCCAATCTCATCCAGGTTGCTGCAAATGCCATGAATTCATTCCTTTTTATGGCTGAGTAATATTCTATCGTGTGTGTATACACACACACACACACCACAGTGTCTTTATCCACTTGTTGATTTATGGTCATTTGGGTAGGTTCCAGGTTTTTGTAATTGCGAATTGCGCTGCTATAAACACGCATGTGCAAGTATCTTTTTCCTGTAATGACTTATTTTCCTCTGGGTAGATATCCAGGAGTAGGATTTCTGGATCAAACGGTAGTTCTACTTTTAGTTCTTTAAGGAATTTCCGCATTGTTTTCCATAGTGGCTGTACTAGTTTACATTCTCACCAGCACTGTAGAAGTGTTCCTTGATCACCGCATCCATGTCAACATCTGCTGTTTTTTGATTTTTTGCTTAGGGCTATTTTTGCAGGAGTAAGGTGGTATCGCATTGTGGTTTTGATTTGCATTTCCCTGATCATTAGTGATGTTGAGCATTTTTTCATATGTTTATTGGCCATTATGTATATCTTCTTTGGAGAATTGTCTATTCATGTCCTTAGTTCACTTTTGATGAGATTGTTTTTTTTCTTACTGATTTCTTTGAGTTCCTTGTAGGTTTTGGATATTAGTCTTTTGTCAGATGTATAGATTGTGAAGATTTTCTCTCACTCTGTGGGTTGCCTGTTTACACTGCTGACCATTCCTTCAGCCTTGCAAAGGCTTTTTAGTTTCATTATTTCCCACCTATTTATCTTTGTTTTTATTGCATTTGCTTTTGGGTTCTTGTCATGAAATCCTTGCCTAAGCCAATGTCTAGAAGTGTGTTTCCAATGTTATCTTCTACAATTTTTACAGTTTCAGGTCTTAGATTCATTTATTTATTTGTTTATTTATTTTTGAGATAGAGTCTTAGAGTCTTGCTGTAGCCCCAGGCTGGAGTGCAGTGGTGCAATCTCAGCTCACTGTAACCTCTGCCTCCTGGGTTCAAGCGAGTCTCCTGCCTCAGCCTCCCAAGCTGGGATTACAGGCACATGCCACCACACCTGGTTTACTTCTGTATTTTTTTAGTAGAGATGGGGTTTTGCCATGTTGGCCAGGCAGGTCTTGAACTCTTGACCTTAGGTGATCTGCATGTCTCAGCCTCCCGAAGTGCTGAGATTACAGGCGTGAGCCACAGCGCCCAGCCAGATTTAATTTCTTAATCCATTTTGAGTTGATTTTTGCAGAAGGTGAGAGACGAGGATCCCGTTTCATTTCCTACGTGTAGCTAGCCAACTATTCCAGCACAATTTGTTGAATAGGGTGTCTTTTCCCCACTTTGTGTTATTGTTTGCTTAGTCAAAGATCAGTTGGCTGTTAGGTATTTGGGTTTATTTCTGGGTTCTTTTTTAATATGCCATTACCTTCTTGCAATCCAGTTGCAGTAAAAGTTTGATAGAATGCTTTGGTCCTCTGCAGGTGACTATTTATTCTCGGTTATTATTATCTTATAGTTAGAATTTTGTTTTGACTTAACCGAATTGGCTTAGAAACAGAAGGCACATTATTTTCAAGAGCATATAGGATATTTTACAAAATAAAACAACCATATGCTGGCTGTATAGCAAGTCACAGTCAATTTCAAGGAATTTAAATCATTCAGATTATGTCCTCTGGCCAAAACATCTGGAGAAAAGCACCACATTTTGTTTCTTTGTTTAAAATTCTGTAGAGCATATATGTATAATTTCTGTTATTTCTGATAAATGTAAGATAGTGTTAAAGTGGTTTAGTACTTCTTTTCTGTCCTCCTTGCACAGTCACCCTTACTGTTTTTGGATTTCTTGTGGTTTGTGTTGTGACACAAGCCTAATTTTTCCTCAGGTTTTAAAGCCTGCTACTTGTTTCTGAAGTACTGAGTCATTGCTCAAGCGAATATTTTAATACATATATCCATATCTTATCATTTCACCAAATTTAGATAGTTAAAAATTTTCAAAGATGACATTGATACATTTCTCCCAGTAGTTACATTTATTATGCCTTAGAAAGCAATAAGAAAAGGACTAAAAAACAGACTGGGATTTGGCAATTCAGGAATCAAATAATTATGTTTTAAAAAGATATTGTCGATTCTCCTGCCTCAGCCTCCTGAGTAGCTGGGACTACAGGTGCCTGCCACCACGCCCGGCTAATTTTTTGTATTTTTAGTAGAGATGGGGTTTCACCGTGTTAGCCAGGACGGTCTCGATCTCCTGACCTCGTGATCCACCCGCCTCAGCTTCCCAAAGTGCTGGGATTACAGGCGTGAGCCACTGCACCTAGCAGAGCTTACAGTGAGCCAAGATCGCGCCACTGCACTCCAACCTGGGCAATAGAGCGAGACTCCATCTCAAAAAAAAAAAAAAAGAAAGAAAAATAAATAAAAAGATATTGTCTAAAGAAATGTAGACAAGCATGACATTTGTCACTACAATGCTTATTCTTCACAATTTAGACATTGATTAGGTAAGGGTTATGAGAGCAGGAATGAAATAGAGACAAATTAAAATAATATGAATGTAAACTTAAGGTTGACTGTAGATTTCCAAACCAAAGAAACTGTTATTTATTATAATGAAAAATGAAGAAAAGGTGCAAATTGTGAGTGAAGTGAATTTACAATAGATGAAAACACTGAGCCAAGGGAATGTCTCCCAGACTCAAAATCATGAAATAAAATGAGCCAGTGAATGTAACAGTGAAAACTTCAAAAATTTGAAGCAGAACTGTAAACCTGCTATGTCACAGAAGACAAAGGCTTCCATGAGTATTGGCTATAGCAAATAAGCAATTACTTATGAACATAAAGAATAACTGACTTGGGAAAGTAATGACTATTATTTCCTAGTTCCTGAATATTTCTGACAAGAAAAGCAATAATTTGGATCAACCGTTATATTTTGATAAATACTTTACTTTCTAATTCTACATATTTCTGCATTTCAATTTAGGTGGGATGGCTATAGTAATTTTTAAATTACCTATTATTTCCTTTCTATCTAGTTGAATTGTTTTTGAAGTCAAAGTCAAACCTCTTTTGACTTTATGTATGCCATCTAGTTCTTACTGAGGAGCATCAGCATGCTGCTGAAACCTCTATTTAAATTACCTATTTTTAAAGTTTTTCTAAAATCCTTTCATGAATATTATTTCTTTTACTAGAAGTAAAAGAAATATGTAGAAGTGTAGAAGTGTTACTACATCACACTTCTCAAAAAATTATATACCAAGAAATACAGCTGGGCACATGCACAAAGCAATGCAGTAGTATCAAGGAAGGAAATTGAGGAAGAAATACATATATCTAAAACAATCCTTCATTAAACCAAGATAATTAAAAGATAGACTAAATTTAATGAAATTTTAAAATCACATATTACTAGATGATGACTGGAAAAGAAAACCTTTTGAAAAATAAAGACTCATAATTTTGAACTACTTTATATTGAATTAGAAGTTCGGTTAACAATAACCAACCAAGTAAATTTTAGTAATTGAAATGAAGTACCAGAAGGAATAAGTCAAGAAGGAAAGCAGAGAAAATTTAGGATAATTAAAGAAAATTATGATTCAAAGTTAAATAAAATTTAGGCATTGAGTCTATGTAAATGGAATAGAATTAAATAGTAAAGAGAACAGAATGTAAGCAATAACAGGTAAAACAGGCACAAGGCCGGTCGCGATGGCTCACGCCTGTAATCCCAGCACTTTGGGAGGCCAAGGCGGGCATATCACGAGGTTGGGAGTTCGAGACCAGCCTGGCCAACATGGTGAAACCCCATCCCAACTCAAAATACAAAAATTAGTCGGGCACGGTGGCACGAGCCTGTAATCCCCACTACTGTGGAGGCTGAAGCAGGAGAATCACTTGAACTAGGGAGTGGAGTCTGAGGTTGCAGTGAGCCGAGATTGTGCCACTGCACCCCAGCCTGGATACAGAGTGAGATTTCATCTAAAAAAAAAAAAGTAGCTTAATGTTATATTTTAATATCAAATGGAAGATACAGAAAAGAAGGATTTTTTTAAAGAAAAAATAATTTTATGAGACCTCTTTATAGCCCACTTACAGAGTAAATATGTCAAAGAAATGTTTGCCATTTGGTTGTTTTTATGTTTTGGTCCCATTGTTCAACACGAAAAAGGAAAATAACATTTGCACAAAACAATTGTACAAGTCATTTTACATGAAAATTCAAATTATAGTTACCAATTGGCTTTTGCTTACAGAAAAAGAAGTTTAGAGTAGTATAAAGTTTTGATAATATGGGAATATAACTGTAAGTAAATGTGTTGGTTAAGCTCTATAGAAGTGGTTCATCCTTTGAGAATGTCAATAAATGCTCCAGGAAGAACTTTTTTATTTAGGAAGATAAAATATAAATAAACTAAAACACTAAAATATGAACTAAAAACAAAAGTGTGAAACAACTGAAAAGTTGAAAGGAGTATATTAGTAAGTGGAGAGGGAGGCAATTTGATGGGGATATTTGAAAAAGTTGGAGGATACATGGATTGAGAGAAAGAAAATCCAGGATGGAGGAAAACTTTAAAAACACTTGAAAACCACACAGAAAACACGCAAGAAAAATACGAAAGAAAATATAAAACCACAACTGAGAACTATAACTGAAATTATAATCATTTTTCACAATATAATAATATATGTTTTTACCAACCCTTGGAATAAAGTTTAAAATTTGAATTTATTTATATAGAGAATAATACACAACCTTACAACAAAATATATAATTTAAAAATCCTACCTATTTGATTTGAAAGACTTGTAGAAATTAACAAAATTATTACGTAGGTTTGATTTCTCATATTTTTTACTTAACATTAAACTCAATTATTTTCTAACAGTTTTGTACATCAAAAGTCCAGGCAGACTCCACCGGTTTTTTTACTTAGGAACTCACAGGGTGATACTGAAGATATGGCTAACTTTAAGTTTTTATCTGGAAACTAGGGGAAAAGTCACCTCTAAGCTCATTCAGGTTGTTGGAAGAATTCAGTTTCTTGTGATTGTAGCACTGAGGCTCACATTTCCTCTGGATGTCCACTTGGGATTGCACAAGCTGCTAGAAGACACCCTTTGGTTCTTGCATGTGGCCCCTTTCTGTCTTCAAAGGCAGCAACAATACACTGAACCCTTCTTGTGATTCAAATCACTTTGACTTCTCGGGCTGCAAGCCAGGTAAGACTCCTTTTTTCCTTCTTTTAACTTTTATTTCAGGTTCAGTGGTACATGTGCAGATTTGTTATATAGGTAAACTCGTGTCACGAGGCTGTGGTATATAGAACATTTCATCATCCAGGTACTAAGCATAGTACCCAGTATGTATTCTTTCTAAATCCTCTCTCTCCTGCCTTCCACCTTCTAGTAGGCCCCATTGTTGGTTGTTTCTGTCCACGTGTTCTCCTTATTTAGCTCCCACTTATAAGTGAGAACATGCAGTCTTTGGTTTTCTGTTCCCGCATTAGTTTGCTAAGAATAATGGTCTCCAGTTCCATCCATCTTGCTGCAAAGGACATGATTCCATTCTTTTTATGGCTGCATATATTCCGTGGTGTATATGTACCACATTTTCCTTATCCAATATACTGTTGATGGGCCTTTAGGTTGATCCATGTATTTGTTATTTTGAATAGTGCTGCAATGGACATATGTGTGCATGTATCTTTATGGTAGAACAATTTGTTTTCTTTTGAATATATATCCAGTAATGGTGTTGGGTCAAATGGTAATTGTGTTTTTAGTTCTCTGAGGAATCACTACACTGCGTTCCACAATAGCTGAACTAATTTACACACCCACCAGCAGTGTGTAAGTGTTCCCTTTTCTCCACCACATTGCCAAAATCTGTTGCTTTCTGATTTTTTAATAATAGCCATTCTGACAGGTGTGAAATGGTATCTTGCTGTGGTTTTGATTTGCATTTATCTAATGAGTGGATGTTAAGGTTTTTACATATGCTCGTTGGCAGCATGTATGTCTTCTTTTGAAAAGTGTCTGTGCATGTCCTTTATCCACTTTTTAATTAGTTTGTTTTTATTTTTATTTTTTGGCTTGTTAATTGGTTTAAGTTCCTTATAGATTCTAGATACTAGACTTTTTTCAGAAGGCTACTTCGCAAAAATTTTCCCCCATTCTTTAGGTTGTCTGTTTACTCTGCTGACAATTTCTTTTGCAGTGCAGAAACTCTTTAGTTTCATTAGATCCCATTTGTCAGTTTTTGCTTTTGTTGCGATTGCTTTTAGCACGTTCATCATGGAATCTTTGCCAGTTCCTATATCCAGAATGGCATTTCCTAGGATATCTTCCAGAGTTTTTATAGTTTTGGGTTTCACATTTAAGTATTTAATTCATGATGAGTTGATTTTTATATATGGTATAAAGAAGGAGTCCAGTTTCAATCTTCTTGCATATGACTAATCAGATATCCCATCACCACTTATTGAATGGGAACTTCTTTCTTTATTGCTTGTTTTTGTTGGTTTTGTTGAAAATTAGATGGCTGTAGATGTGTGGCATTATTTCTGGGCTCTCTATTCTGTTCCATTGTTCTACGTGTCTGTTTTTGTACTAGTGTTATGCTACTTGGGTTACTGTGGCCCTGTAGAAGAGTTTGAAGTCATATAATGTGATGGCTTCAGTTTTGTTCTTTTTGCTTAAGATTCCCTTGGCTATCCAGGGTCTTTTTTGAGGGCTAGGTGAATTTTAAAAATAGTTTTTTTCTAGTTCTGTGAAGAATGTTGTTGGTAGTTCTATAGCAATAGCATTGAATCTGTAAATTGCTTTGGGCAGTGTGGTCATTTGAATGCCTAAATTTATTGAAGGTTATTTAACATGTAGCAGTGTTGAATGCATCTATTGTGATAATCATGTGGTTTTTGCTTTTTATGCATCTATTGAGATAATCATGTGGTTTTTGTCTTTAGTTTACATGATTAATCACATTTATTGATTTGCATATATTGAACCAACCTTTCGTCTTTGGGATAAGGTCTACTTGATCATGATGAATTAGCTTTTTGATGTCCTGCTGCATTCTGTTCGCTAGTATTTTGTTGAGGATTGTTGCATCTATGTTCATCAAGGATATTGGTCTGAAGTTTTTTTTTATTTTTTTATTTTATTTTTTATTTTGCTGTTTCTCTGCCAGGTTTTCGTATGAAGATGATGCTGGTCTCATAGAGGATGATGCTAGTCTCATAGAATGAGATTGAGAGGAGTCCCTCTTCTTCAATTTTTTAGAATAGTTTCGGTAGGATTTGTACCGGCTATTCTTTGAATATCTACTAGAATTCAGCTGTGAATCCATCTAGTCCTTGGCATTTTTTTTTGGTAGGCTATTTATTACTGATTCAGTTTTGAAGCTCATTATTGGTCTGTTCAAGGATCAATTTCTTCCTGCTTCCATCTTGGGTGGATGTATGTGTCCAGGAATTTATCAATTTTTCCTACATTTTCTAGTTTGTGTACATAGAGGTGTTTAAAGTAGTTTACGGTGGTTATTTTTTTTTTCTGTGGGATCAGTGGTAACATCTTCTTTGTCATTTCTGATAGTATTTATTTGGAGCTTCTCCTTTTCTTAAAAGTCTAGGTATCCATATATCTATTTATTGATTTTTTCAATGATCCAACTCTTGGATTTGTTCATCTTTTTATTTTTTTTTTTTATGTCTCGAACGCCTTCATATCAGCTCTGATTTTTGTTATTTCTTTTCTTCTGCTAGTTTTGAGGTTTGTTTGCTTTTGCTCCTCTGGTACTTCTAGTTGTAATGCTGGGTTTTTAGTTTGATATCTATCATTTTGATGTGAGCATTTAGGACTACAAATATCCCTCTGAATACCACTTTAGCTGTGTCCCAGAGATTCTTGCTTGTTTTATCTTTTTGTTATTTTCAAAGAATGTCTTGATTTCTTCCTTAATTTTATTGTTCACCCAAAAGTCACTTAGGAGCAGGTTGTTTAATTTCCATGTAATTGTATGGTTTTGAGTGATTTTCTTTGTACTGAATTCTGTTTTTATTGCACTGGTTTTTTTTTGTTTTTTTATTATTATTATTATACTTTAATAATAATAGGGTACATGTGCACAATGTGCAGGTTAGTTACATATGTATACATGTGCCATGCTGGTGTGCTGCACCCATTAACTCGTCATTTAGCATTAGGTATATCTCCTAATGCTATCCCTGCCCCCTCCCCCTGCCCCACAACAGGCCCCAGTGCGTGATGTTCCCCTTCCTGTGTCCATGAGTTCTCATTGTTCAATTCCCATCTATGAGTGAGAACATGCGGTGTTTGGGTTTTTGTCCTTGCAATAGTTTACTGAGAATGACGATTTCCAATTTCATCCATGTCCCTACAAAGGACATGACCTCATTATTTTTTATGGCTGCATAGTATTCCATGGTGTATATGTGCCACATTTTTTATTGCACTGTTGTCTGAGAGTGTCGTTTGTATGATTTCAGTGTTTTTTTTTTAAATTTGCTGAAGATTGGTTTATGTCTGATTGTGTGTTCCATTTTACAGTATGTGTCATGTGGTAATGAGAAGAAAGTATATTTTGTCATTTTTGGATAGAGCGTTCTGTAGAAGTCTATTAGGTCCATTTGATCAAGTATTGAGTTCAAGTTCTGAATATCTTCATTAATTTTCTTCCTTAATGATCTGTCTAATACTGTTAGTAGGGTGTTGAAGTCTTCCACTATTATTTTGTAGAAATCTAAGTCTCTTTGTAGGTCTCTAAGAACTTGTTTTACAAATCTATGTGCTCCTGTGTTGGGTGCATGTATATTTAGGATAATTAGGTCTTTTTGTTTAATTCAACCTTTTACCATTATGTAATGACCTTCCTTGTGTTTGTTGAGTTTTGTTGGTTCAAAGTGTGTTTTGTCTGAAATTAGGATTGCCACCTCTGCTTTTTTATGTTCTCCTTTCGCATGGTAGATTTTTTTTCCATCCATTCATTTTGAGCCTATGGGTGTCCTTGCATGTAGGATGGGGCTCTTAAATTCAGTATACCATTGGGTCTTTTTCTTTATCCAGCTTGCCACTCTGCCTTTTCTTTGAGGCATTTAGGCCATTTACATTCAAAGTTATTATTGATATATGTGGATTTGATCCTCTCATCCTGTTCTTAGCTGATTATTATGCAGACTGGTTTGTGTGGTTGCTTTATAGTGTCACTGGTCTGTGTACTTAAAGGTGTTTTTGTAGTGGCTGATAACAGTCTTTCCTTTCCATATTTACTACTCCTTTCAGGAACTCTTGTAAGGCAGTCTGGTGGTAATGAATTCCCTCTGAATGTGTTTGTTTGAAAAGATCTTATTTCTCCTTCACTTATGAAGCTTAGTTTGGCTCCATCTGAAATTCTTGGATGAAGATTTTTTTTCTTTAATAATGTTGAATATAGACCCCCAATCTCTTCTGGCTTGTAGGATTTCTGCTGAAATTTCTGCTTTTAGCCTGATGGGGTGCCCCTTGTAGGTGATCTGCCTTTTTTCGTTAGCTTACTTTATCACTTTTTCATTCATTTTGGCCTTGGAGAATCTGATGATTATGTGTCTTGGGGATGGACTTCTTTTTTAGCATCCTGTAAAGGTTCTCTATATTCTTTGAATTTGAATGTTGGCCTTTCTAGAGAGGTTGACGAAGTTTTCATAGATGATATCCTGAAATATGTTTTCTAAGTTGGTTGCTTTCTCCCCATGCGTACAGCACACCACAGCCACCATTTAGAGAAAAGCCCCATTTCTTGCTGCTATGGGCCCTTGACCCCCTGTTCCCCAACAAGCAGAGCCTCTAGCTCAGGCAAGCAGTGCAGCTGCTTCACCCTCTGGCTGAACACTCCCAGTAGCAGCAGCTCCACATTTCTCAGAGATGGAGCTCCCAGGGGCAACCAAAAGTCCCTCTGCCACTGCCTCTCCAGTTTAACTTCCCTGTTTACCCTTGAACTAGGGAAGGAGCAAAGACTCCGAGTGCTTTATCCCGCAAGTTGTAGTTGCTCTAATGAGAGGAGGCCAGTCTGTCTCCCACGGGTCCTACCCACATTCTCTGCTAGTCACCAGACAGGATCCCCCCAGCGTGGGCTCACAGTGCAGCTGCCCCATGTCAGGCTGATCATGCTAATTGATTGCAGTTCTGCATCTTTCTGCAATGGAGCCCCAAGTGACAAGAAAAGACGTTGAGCCACAGGGTCTCCTCTGCTGCTTCCAAGCTGGGGAAGTAACATAAAGCCTATGATCATTTCAGAACTATGGTGTGCAGCCTGGATGCACCAAGCCAAGATCTGCAGTGAGCACTCAAGTGGGAGAGGAGCCTACACTGACTTTCAAAACATTGAGAGGAAGCATAGCTGCAACCCATGAGGAAATACGGAGGAGCCACATGACTGAGCAGGAGCCTACACAGTGACCATTACACTTCAGCACCAGCTACTAGATCACACCCCAAAACTTCAACACCAATAATACTTTGCTATCATACCCTGCTGTGAAAAGAAAGACAAGAATTTAGCTACAAATAAAGGCCCTAAACAAAGCCTTAGGACTCTGAAAACATGGAAAGAAGTCTACTGACTGTACTCAATTTACACTGCAATTAAAGGAACACCCACACACACACACACACACAGATGAGAAAGAACCTATGCAAGATCTCTGGCAACTCAAAAGACCAGCATGTCTTCTTTCCTCCCAAAGATCACACTAGTTCCCCAGCAAGGGTTCTTAACTAGGCTGAGATGGCTGAAATGACATAAATTGATTTCAGAATATAGATAGGAACAAAGATCATTGAAATTCAGGGGAACATCGAAACCTAATTCAAGGAAGCTAAGTGTATTAGTCTGTTATCACCCTGCTATAAAGAACTTCTGAGACTGGGTAATTTATAAAGGAAAAAGATTTAATTGACTCATAGTTCTGAATTGCTGGGGAGGCCTCAGAAAACTTATAATCATAGCTGAAGGTGAAGGAGAAGCAAGTAACTTCTTCACAGGGTGGCAGAAGAGAGAGAGAGTGAAGGGGGACAGTCACTTTTAAACCATCAGATCTCATGAGAACTCACTCACTATCATGAGAACAGCACGGGGGAACCACCCCCATGATCCAATCACCTCCCACCAGGTTCCTCTCTCAACACATGGGGATTACAGTTCCAGATAAGATTTGAATGGGAACACAGAGCCAAACCATATCACTAAGGAACAAACACAAAAAATAATTCAGGTGCTGATCGGTGAAATAGCCAGTATAAAACAGAACCAAATTGACTGGCTAGAGTTGGAAAACACACCACAAGAATTTCATAATGCAATCACAAGTATTAACAACAGAATGGACCAAGTTGAGGAAAGGACCTCAGAGCTTGAAAACTGGCTCTCAGAAATAAGACAGTCGGGCAAAAATAAATAAAATTTTACAGAGCTCATTGTATTAGATTAGGTACACTTGGATAATCTTCCTGTCTTCACATCAACTGATTATTAACATTAATTACATCTGCGCAATCCATTTTGCCATGTAATACAATATAATCATCAAAGTAACACTGGGAGGCTAAGGTTATGACCATCTAATATTCTGTATACCACACAATTGTATTGCTTTCTGAGGTCATTGAACACTTTCAGAATTCATGAAAGGTGGATACTCACTATAAATAAGATAGATATGGCTAGCAAGAAGAAAAATATAGGGATTCTATACTTAAAAGATACAGCTATTTCCATTTATATAATTGTCACAATAAAAATTTAAATGTGAATAAGTGAATAGCAAGTATAGAAAGTTTAGCAAAATAATGAGAATTAGATATATAAATGAATTTTTAAGATAGTCTCAGAAAAAGTGTAATATTTGTCATTTATCCTGAAATGTCAAAAATTTTCCTAAGCAGAACTACTCACCACCAATTTCTCAGTTTCATCCCTGAAAAAAAAATCATTCAAGTGGATTTATTTTGGCAAAGTGAAACTGTGAATTGCTTGGCTCCAGAACAGCTGCCCATACTCAGCAGGACTGCATTCCCACACTCCATTCACCCTTACCCCATCCCTTCCAGGAACACTTGGACTAGGATCCAGCTCTAGATCTGCAAGAAGTTGTGTTCCAGCTCTTAAATCATTAGTAGGACCAGATTTTACTCAAAAAACTATTCTAGCATTTGAAATTATTTCCACTGCTTTGTTGCTTACACTGAAATCGTCCCTCAAAAAATATAAGAAATAGAATATGAGCCCTGCTTATTCTTTAGGACAAAATTTAGGATGGTGTATCTAATAAATGGATTGTAATTAGGAAGATGGTTTTACATTTGTCCCTAGATTCTTCTGTTTTTCTCAGGCCTCTATGAATCTTTCTCTCTGAGAGATCCCGACTTGCTGAGAGCAAGAACTATTGAAAGGAAATGAAATAAATAACTGATGGTTGCCCATGGCAATTAGGAAAATAAAGAGCAAACTTCCCTCTTTGAATATTACTTAGTGTCAAGACTTAATTATACTCATTGACTATACAAGTCTAAATATTTGGGCACTTATATTTTTGTATTTGGGCATATGATATTACAAAATAATTTTGAGAGCTAAGAGACATACGTATGTATTTTAGAACTCCAATAGCAGTAACTTTCTCAGTAGCATATAGTTTTCCAATCTGTTGGAAAAAGCTTGGCTTCAACTAGGAGAGATAAGTAATAGAGCTAGAGTTTCAATTCTGTTCAATATGAATAATAATATTTCACCAGTAGAAATTAAATATGTATAATCATGTGACAGTAATACTGATATGATCTGAGAAATGCATTATTAGGCAATTTTGTCATTATGCAAACATCATAGATGTTTACAAAACCTTGACAACATAGTCTGCTACATATCTAGGCTATATGAGATATAGCCTATTGCTCCTAGGCTACACACCTGTACAGCGTGTGACTATACTGAACATGTAGGCAATTGTAACATAACGGCAAGTATTTGTGTATTTAAACGTATCTAAACATAGAGTAGGTATAGTAAAAGTACAGCGTAAAAGATGGAAAATGTTACGTCTATATTGGGAACTTACCATAAATGGAGCTTGAAGACTAAAAGTTACTCTGGATAAGTCAGTGAGTGAATGGCGAGTGAATGTGAAACCCTAGGACATTACCGTATATGACTGTGGATTTTATAAAAATGATACACTTAAGGACCATGAAATTAACATTATCTTACTATACCTTTTAATCTAATATATTTTAACGCTTTTATATGTTTCAACGCTTTGATTTTTTATAATAACATTTAGCTTAAAACACAAACACATTGTGCAGCTATACAAAAATATCATCTTTTATAGCTCTGTTTTATAAGATTTTTTCCTTTTTCAGCTTTGTACACCTTTTTGTTAAAAAGTAAAATGCAAACACACACATTAGCCTAGGCCTACACACGATCAGGATCATCGATATAATTGTGTTTTACCTTCACACCTCATCCCACTGGAAGGTCTTCAGGGGCAATAACATGCATGGACCTGTAGTCTGCTGTGATAACAATGCCTTCTTCTAAAATATCTCCTGAAGGACCTGCCTGAGACAGTCTTACAGATAATTTTTTTTAATAAATAAGAGTATACCCTAAGATAACATTAAATAGTAAAGTATATACATAAATGAGTAACATAGTAATTTATTATCATTATCAAGTATTATGTGTTGTACATAATTATATGCACTATTCTTGTCTATGATTGGCAGCACGATAGGTTTGTTTATATCAGCATCACCAAATGCACTTGAGTAATGCATTGAGCTTTGAAGTTATAATGGCTATTATGTCACTACATGGAAGATATTTTTCAGCTCCATTAGAATCTTATGGGACCACTATTTTAAATGCAGTCTGTCATTGACCAAAGCATTATTATGTGGGGCATGACTGTAAACGTTTCAAAGAAATTGGTTTTCCCTTTCATTCTATTACTGTTCCACCACTAGCTGTTTTGTACGTTTCTCTTTCTGTGCTGTTCCTTAAATGTAGAACTCCTCTAAATGTATTTCTTTTATTTATCCTGTCCCAGAACAATCTCATTAACATTCCTTGGAAATGTTTCCTCTCATCAGGAATGCTCTTCTGAGGCCTGTACCTGAATGACCATTTGTCCCCATTAAGACTCATTTGGGGGCAAGTAACATAAATGGAAAAAAAAAGTAGACTAAAGTAACTAAGCCCAAGGGTAGTATGATTTAAGCTAAAGGTGATTTCAGGCTCCAAGTAAAGTAATCAGGGTTCAGCTTATCTCCATTTGTTATCTCTTCTTCTAGTGGGTTGGACCCATTTTCAAAGAATCCCTTCCCTTACATAGCAGTCCATATAGAATCTCACTTCAAATACAGTTTAAAGAAAAAAAAAATTATCTTCAAAGGCAAAAGCAAAGTCTGGAACCAGATTTCCATTGACCCAGCCTGGATGCTGGTATTGGATGCTCTATTACACTTAAGTGAGATAAATAGCCATTTCTGGCCCTCTTTTTATTTGTTTACAATGCCCCACTTTGGAGAAATGCTGGAGTGCATTTAAGAAGGTTCTATTCATGAATAGAAGAATCTCAGTTGTATAGAAAATGATTTATTTGAAATTACCTGCTATAAAAACTTCCCAGGCTCATTGCTTTTTGGATCAACTCTGTCTCTTCTACTTCCTTGTACTGCTGTCTGGAAGAACCCTGGCTCACAATGGTGCAGAACTTTTTATCCTGATATCTGAAGTAAATTGATCTGAGTTTATATTAGGTTGGATCTTAGTGCCCATATTATCTACTGGGAGTTTCCCAGCCTGGTATGATGGAGCTTAGAAGAGAGTAAATTAGCTTTTACAAGTCAGTCTCTCAATATTTATTTAGTGAGTGAGTGGACAAATGAATGAATATTTCTTGGAGGTATTATTCATTTTGTGTTCCCTTCATACTTCAAATTATTTTTTACCTTTAGTAAGAAATGGATACTGACATGGCTTTAATGAATCTCCTCCAAAATTCAAGTGTTGCCAATGTGATAGTCCTAAGAGGTCAGGCCTTTAAGAGGTGTTTAGGCCATGAGAGATCCTCTCTCATGAATGGGATGAGGTGATCTTATAAAGGGTCTTGACAGAGAGAGTTGGTTCTCTCTTGCCCCTTCCACCTTCCACCATGTGAGGATGCATCAAGAAGACCTCAGAGCCTGGTATCTTGATCTTGGACTTCCTAGCCACCAGAATGGTAAGAAGTAAATTTCTGTTCTTTATAAATTACTCAATCTATGGTATTCTGTTTTAGAAGCACAAAATGGTCTAAGACACATAATTTTACCCTTTCTAAATCCAAATTGAATGCAATTTTATCATAAAGTTTTATCATTTCTCTAATAAAAATGTTTTTAAATTTTTTGAAAGTCCACAAATGCATATATATTTACATGCATATCTATATGAAGGTCCAACTTTGATTCTGCTTTGTTTTGGCTTTCTTTTTTGTATTACTTTTCTCCAAAGAGTAAAATACACACTTGTTTTATTCTCTTATTCCTACAGCACCTAACATAATTCTTACTAAAAAATATTATTTAATGAAGAAAATTATTATATAATACATTTTGTTGATACATTATTTTCTACATATTATGTGTCAATTTTGTTCCTTACTATCCTCAGCTGGAATCCATTTGAAGAGACAGAACTGTATTGTGTAGATTCAAGCAATACATAGTAGGATACCATACATACTGTAGGGTTTGGCTCTGTGTCCCCACCCAAATATCACCTTGAATTGTAATCTCCATAATCCTCATGTGTCAAGAGCAGGACCAGATGGAAGTAAGTAGATCATGAAGGTGGTTTCCCCCATGCTGTTCTCATTATAGTGAGCGAGTTATCTTGAGATTTGATGGTTTTATAAGCATCTGACATTTCCCCTGGTTGCACTCATTGAGTCTTGCCACCCTGTGAAGAAGGTACCTGCTTCTCTTGCATTCTGCCATGATTGTAAGTTTTCTGAGGCCTCCCCAGAACTGTGAGTCAATTAAACCTATTTTCTTTATAGATTACTCAGTCTCCAGTCTTGCGTATGTCTTCATGGCAGTGTGAGAATGAACTAATACTCATATAATGGATACTAACAAGTAAATCTTTATTTACCACTTATTAGAAGCTTGACTTAACCAATTATCAAATTTTATATAAGCTTTAATGTTATTGGGAAATATCCTTTTCCTGTAAAAATAAATGAGATTACCTACCTGAAGTACCTTAGGCCTTTCTAATATTTTCAATTTTCATTAAATGTTTATTTTTATGTATCTATAGATATCTTGAATATGTATTGTAAATATTATATGTATGTAGAATATATGTATTCTAGTATTTCTTCCAGATAGCACTTAAAAACCAGTGTTTGCATTTTTGCATGTGAGTAAGCAATTCCTACTTACAATGATGGAAGAAATAGATACCCTGGAAGAAGGAAAATTAAATTCATGCTTTCAAAGCATCCTTCCCAACAAATCCAATTCATCTTTTGCACAGAAGGAATAATTAGATGAAGATATATTTTAAGTCAGATTGTTAGTATTTTGGCCACATGGCTACATCATAAGTGTAGTTTAAAATTCTGTTCATTTTTATTTTTTTAAATCAAAACACTCATTGAACTGTACTTAATTTTTAAATGCAAAATACATAAAACTCTTGCATTTCTTGGAAATAAATTCTCTTTATTCTACTAATAAATAAACATTGTTACCACCATTGAGGCAAATGACAGAAATTCTTACAATTGATTATCCTATATGGGTATGAAAACTTTAACATGCTCCTCTAAGTAACTGAATACTACAGAGTGATTTTGGATCAATGTGGCCTTATTTTGAATATAACATACAAAATCATTGAGTGTTTTATGATTTATCTTCATTTTAAATCAAGCTTTGGGATATATGAAGACAGAAGATAAATCAAAATGTGTCACGTATTATATTTTCTGAAGTTATTAACATATATCTAGCAAAAGGTAAAATAGCACAGATATACCAACCAAATTTTCATGTGAAGAAAATATTTTATATAAATAATGTTTCTTCTTTTATATGAAATCACTGCAAAAATGAGAAAGCTACTTTTTATATTCCCCAATGAATATTCCCCAGTCCTGTGATTCCAAGTTCAGTAAAATTTAGAAAATCATGGCCAAGAAATTTAGTAGACCGAATGTACCTTCACTTTCTGGAATGTACTTGTAACCCTACATTCACAGTTAGAAATTTGCTTGAATGAAAAAGTGTTCAAAGTAATTATTATCTTGTATTTGGCTTCTCTGGGTACCTGTTTGGCTTTTATTTCTAAATAAAAAAACAAAACATGCACAATGTAAATATTTTTAGTTTGTAAAATTTTCTTTCCAATTACATATTTTGAGATGTTGTATATACTGTAAACATTTTGAAGTAATTTTGCCCAAATTAAGAAAAAAAATTCATTCATCTTTTTATCTTATTTTTATTTTGGTTCACTTTTCATCTGGGTATTAATATGGATGTTGCAGAAAGAATAGCTCCTATAAATGATAGGTTGCTGTATGGATATGCAACAAAACCATCTTTATTTTACAGAAAGGTCTCATTACTCTAAAAGAAGGCCAGTGAAGAAATTTATATTGACCTTTTGGCATGACCTTTCTAAACCAACTGTTCCCTAGTACCTAAACTAGTGAGTTTACTGCATAGAGACACCCAAAGGAGTAAAACATGAAGTGGGAGACTTTGGCCCTATTAGAAACCTTAGGGCCAGGTTCTGTTCCTTATCACCTATGAGATTTCCCTTGTTAATGATGCTGAGTTGGGCATATTTATTTTTTAGCCATTTCATCAACAAGTTTTGCTTATGACTAAGGATGTCATTTCTTGTTCCCATCACATGGTGTTTTAGGACATTCCTGCTGCTTTAACAAAATATCTTACTTAGAGTAATTCATAATTTATAAAAATTCCTTATACATTCTTTATAGATTCTGACAATTCCATAAGTGTCATGAATTTCAGTAGGGAAGTGACTTTTCAAAGTGAGCTCTGGACAGGTAGCCATAAGTAAGACTACGGTGGCACGGATATGCTGTGCTTTGATCAGTTGTGTGGTATGCAATTTTTATTATAAATATCACTGAACTCCATATGACAAAAATTACTCATCAACTTTTCTTTTTTTTTTTTGAGACGGAGTCTCGCTCTGTTGCCCAGGCTGGAGTGCAGTGGCGCGATCTCGGCTCACTGAAACCTCCGTCTCCCGGGTTCACGCCATTCTCCTGTCTCAGCCTCTCCGAGTAGCTGGGACTACAGGTGCCCGCCACCACGCCCGGCTAATTTTTTTGTATTTTTAGTAGAGACGGGGTTTCACCGTGTTAGCCAGGATGGTCTCGATCTCCTGACCTCGTGATCTGCCCGCCTCCGCCTCCCAAAGTGCTGGGATTAAATTAGATGTAAAATGTTGTTCAGGTTTATTAAATAAAGAAAGAAAAAGATTGTTAACTAGATGTCTTATTTTGTTTTTCTCTGACAATGGCTGTCTTGTAAATTGGTATATTTAGATCATGCACATTTAAAGTAATTATTGGGTGGTAAAAAAGTTGGGCTGGTATTTATTATGTTTATAACTATTTTCTATTCATATCATTTATTCTTTGCCTCCCAACAATCACTCTTTTTCTTATTTCTATTGTTTTAATTGACACTTAAAATAATCCCATTACATTTCCTCTCCTAGCATGTCAGTTATACTTTAGAACAGTTTTAGTGATTTATGTGAGTTTGCAATACACATTTTTAACTAATCTCAATCTACCTTTAAATAAGACTTTGAATAACTCAACACAAATATCACTTTACAAGAGTGTTACAGACTCAATATTTGTATTCCCCTATTCCCCCAAAATGTGTATGTTGAAACCTAATCCCTATGGTAAGAGTATTTGGAGATGGGTCTGTGGGAAGTGATTAGGTCATGAGGGCAAACTGTTATGGATAGAATTAGTGCCTTTACAAAAGAAACCCTAGAGAGCTAATTTGCTCTTCTGCCGTGTGAAATCCCAGTGACCCATCCTCTATGAACAAGCCCTTGCCAGACACTTAATATGCACATGGCTTGACCTTGGACTTCCCAGTCTCAGAACTGAAAACTGCATTTTTGTTGATTATAAGCCACCTAGTGTATGGTATCCTGTTATAAAAGCCTGAGCAAACTAAGATACAAGTAATCCCAATTCCTACCATTATTTATGACACTACTGCCATTTAATGTATTCATTTATATACTATATTCATTCAATACATTGTTACAGTTATTCCTTTTAAACAAAATATTATCTTTTAGGTCAATTAAGAATAAGAAAATAAAACATTTTATTTTAGTTTCATTCATTCCTTCTATGATATTCTTCCTTTCTTTATATAGACCAATTTCTGACCTATACCCTTTTTCTTCTCCCTAGGAACTTCTTTGAACATTCCTTGCAAGGCATGTCTACTGACCATAAACTTTCTCAGTTTTTGTTTGTCTGAGAAGGTCTTTATTTCTTCTACACTATTGCAGGATAATTCTATTAGATATAGAAATGTAGGCCAGATGCGATGGCTCACACCTGTAATCCCAGCACTTTGGGAGGCCGAGGCGAGCAGATCACGAGGTCAGGAGATTGAGACCATCCTGGCTAATACAGTGAAATCCCGTCTCTACTAAAAATGCAAAACTAATTAGCCAGGTGTGATGGCATGCACCTGTAGTCCTAGCTACTCGGGAGGCTGAGGCAGGAGAAATTGCTTGCCCAGGAGGTGGGGGTTGCAGTGAGCCAAGATTACACCACTGCACTCCAGTCTCCAAAAAAAAAAAAAAAGAAAAGAAATGTAGATGGTGTGTGTGTCTCTGTGTGTTTCACTTTCAACACTTTAAGTATTTCCCCCCACTCTCTTCTTGCTTTCATCTAATGAAAAACCAACTGTAATTCTTAGCCTTATTTATTTACAGGTAAGTTTTCTTGTTTACCCTTGGCTCCTTTCAGTATGTCTCTCTGTCTTTGATTTTCTTTGGTTTAAAAAATATATACCTAAGTATAGATTTTTGACATTTATTCTGCTTGGTATTCTCTGCACTTCTTGAATCTGTATTCAGTATCTGCTGTTAATTTTGGAAAATTCTTAGCCATTATTACTTTAAATATTTATTTGGATCTGTTCTTCCTTTCTTT
Source organism: Homo sapiens (assembly GCF_000001405.40). Taxonomy (NCBI): domain Eukaryota; kingdom Metazoa; phylum Chordata; class Mammalia; order Primates; family Hominidae; genus Homo; species Homo sapiens. The sequence goes on along the minus strand of NC_000009.12, from coordinate 40,366,053 downwards.
ACATTCTGGTATTCAGATGTACCTGCTAATATTCTACTAGAAAGAAAATAAAATATAAAATTGAGTAAAATAAAACAAAATAAAATAAGGAGTAGCAACACAATGCATTAAATTCAATGCAACGGATTAAATATGTTTTGATCTGTTAAAAAAATCAATCTGAACAATGATGTGGTTTACAGTTAGTATGCAATATAGAACTCTGAATTTAATTGTTTTTATTTTTCTACAGTGGTTTTACAGTAAAAATAATTTGAGTTTAAGTTTGGATTGTTACTTTTAAAAACAGAGCTAATTAGCATTGTTTATTACTTTCTCACCTTAATTTTCTTATATATATGTGTGTGTGTGTGTGTGTGTGTGTGTGTGTGTGTGTGTATATATATATATATATATATATATATATATATATAAAAAGAGATTATAGATCTGTAATGCTTAGCATAAGTCCTGGTAAATTGCATCTATTCAATGAACATTTGTTCTCCCTTTAATTCCTGCAATCTAGATGGTGGTTCATGGATATAGTTGCTCTCTAATTTTTTGAGCATATTAAGGACTTAAAAGCTAATGATGGTGTATTGTTATGTCAAGGCCAGCAGAGCATATCACTTTAAAAAACTGGCAATAGAAACTTCTCTTTAAAAATTGTAAAAGTAAGTAAAGTTTAGAAACCAACCAAGTACGAGCAATGCAATGTTAGCATCTCATTGGTTCACACCAGTGAAAAGTATTTAAGAACAAAGAAATGGTATACTGTACCACACAGAAACTTGCATGCAAATGTTTATTGCATGTGCAGCTATATTCTTACTTACTAAAACTTAGAAGCACCCAGCTTATCCTTTAATAGGTAATCATTCCTTAATTAGATAAACAAACTCTGCTATATCCATACAATGACATAATTATCAGGGGTAAAAAAATAAGCCATCCAGTCATGATTAGACATGGAGGAAATTTGAATGCATATTTCTATGTGAAAGAAGCCAGTCTGAAAAGTCTACATATTGTATGAGTCCAAGTATATAATCTTCTAGAAAAGGCGAAACTATAGAGCTAGTGCAAAGTTTAGTCATTACCAGGAGTTGGGCATGTGGGGGATAAGTAGGTGGAGCACAGGGAATTTTTAGGGCAGTGAAATTATTATCTATGATTCTGTAATGGTGGATACATGACATCATGCATTTAGCAAAACCCATGGAACTGTATAATACAAAGAGTGAACCCTAATGTAAACTCTGGTCTTTAGTCAATAAATGCATCAATGTTGGCTTCTTAATGCAATTTCATTTTAAAATATAAATTTTCTTATTTTTTCCACATATTTCTTAGGGGAAAATTTTAAATAATTTCTAGCTTCACTGTTTTCTAATGGATAAAAGCATAAATTAAATATGCTTTTATTACTGAGAGGATATGACATTGTAGTAACAGATTTATTAATAATCAAGAATGTATTAACATATTTATATAAGGTAACATTCTGTGGATTTTTGTTTCCAAATAACTCAGAATTGACAAAATAAAAATATAATTATTCAATGATGAATATCACAATGAGCAATATTGATCTATTTCATAAACATTTCATCCTGTCAATCACAGGGATACTCAGTTCAAATACATCAAAAGAAAACATTCTTCAGGTAAATTGAAATTACAATAGTTTCAATTTTTACAAAAGTTTAGATGTTGATAACAGTTTCAGAGCCACTTCTCTGTATAGAAAAGCTTTCTGGGGATGTCATGGTTGTAACTAAAAACAAAAATACAGATTTATAGATAACAAAATGAAGAGAAATCTGTTATAAATATTGATTGTATGATTATGAGGTCTTTAGAAATTACAAATTATTTTATCAGTATATTTTAAGTGTAGGATATACTTAATTTGAATACTAATATTTATTACATATGAGCTTAATTGTGTCTGTTCAAAAGATACAATGAAGTGCTAAACTCCAGTACCTTAAAATGTGAACTTATTTGATAATAGAGCTATTGCAGATGTCACTAGTTAAGATGAGGTCAGGTGAGTGCTGTCCTTATAAGAATTGGGCACAGAGATACATACATATAGGGAGAATGTCCTGTGATGACAGAGTCACAAACTGATGCAGTTGCCTGCCAAAAAATGTGCCAAGAATTGATAACTGGCACCTGAAGACAAGAGGTAAAGAAGGATTCTCTCCTTCAGGTTTCAGAGGGAGCATGGTATTGCTAACATCTTGATTTTGAATTTCTGACCTCCAAAACTGAGAGAATAAGCTTTTGATGTTTTAAGCTACCCAGTTTGTGGTATTTTGTATGACAGTCCTAAAAAATGAATACAAATAGTAAACCATAAGCAAAACTACAAGCATGGAAATTTACCCTAATTCACTTTCTGCGTAACACTTATGATTCAAAAATTGATATTATATTTTGTATTTTTAATTATCTTTCTCACGTAGGAGAACATAAACATCCTGAGGGCAAAATCTTTATTCAGTTTTTATTTTACTCATAACACTTAGAACATCGAGTGGCAATTGATGTGTTTGCTAGTCAGGATGTTATTCTGGTGAATACTGTTCATTCTATGTAACAAGAAACCACTGATGTATCAGTAGTTTATGAAAGGTTTAGTTTAACTGATGCTACCTATCCAAAACAGGCAAAGCAGTGGGACTTCCCCTTCCTGCGAGTCAGGTAAAATATTTGATACATGTTTTCATAGCCACAGAGATGGGGGGAAACAGAACATGGCAAAGAATGACTGGACTCTAAAAAGTTTTATATTCTGGATTAGTCAGAATTTCAACAGAAAACAGTTGGTAAATACAACTAAGAATAATTTGAGGAATGCTTCCATACAAAGGAAGGAGCATGAAAGAATTGTAAGCAATAAATCTGGAACTGGCGCTCAGTGAGGATAAAAACAAAACATGGAAAAAGAAGGAGTAGAAGATCAGACCACCTGGAGAACAAAAGTGACCTTCTGTAAAGAGACACATGTAGGGAAGACAGCCTCATGGGGAAGAGACCAACAGAATAAACACCATGACCCTTTTCTCCTCTTCCTTTCTGCCTTCTTACAGGGTTCTCCACAGGCTGAACCTAACCTGAAGCCAGAGGATGAGGGAGCCTCCTAATGTATTCCTGAGAAGTCAAAAAAAAAAAAAAGGCCAATGAGTCAGGAAGAGTGGAAAGGGTTGCATTAGAAGATATTTTACACATTACTTTCCTTTTTTTATGTTACCATTATAAAGTGATATATCTAGAAGCAATCTTGCACATCAATCTTTATCTACATCTCAGATTGTGTAAACTTTATAGCTTACTGTTTCCCTCATGAAAAGTAAAGTATCCCATTGTAAGAGTAAGACAATATACAACTATGTTATATAGTGTTAACTTCTGTTAATTGTTTGTAAGACAAATTATTGGGGTGATTACATGAAATAAGGAGGTCTAAATTAAACTTTCAATGACAGAAAACCAGCAATATATAAGAAACAGAACAAACATTCTTAATGTATTTAATGTATTTCAATCTGTGTATTTAGCATCTACTTATAATTTTTTAAACAATTTAACTCTAGTTTTTAATATAGAGACCATTACACCATTTCTTCTTATATTTTTAAATTACATTTTATATCATCTTTATCATTAGGATAAGCAGGGGAGAAATGTTGAATATATTGATTGATGTATCTGATATATACACTCATGTGCCACATAATTATGTTTTGGTCAATGACAGACCATATATGTATGATGTTGACCTCATAAGAGTCTAATGGCCCTGAAAAATTTCTATCATCCAGTGATATTGTAAGCCACCTAACATTGTAGCAAAATGTATTGCTACTGTTTGTGGTGATGATGGTGTAAACAAATTTGCTCTTCTTTCAGTGATACTAAAGTACACATACAATTGTGTGCAGTACATAGTATTAGATAATGATAAACTCTGTTACTGGTTTATTTGTTTTATATACTACAATTTTTATCATTAGAATTACCCCTTCTACTTATGGAAAAACAGTTAAATCTGTACAATAGCCTCAAGCAAATCTTTCAGGAAGTATTACAGAAAGAAGCATCATTACCATAGGAAATAACAACTCCATGAGTGTAATTATCTCTGAAGCCTTTTCAGTGGGACAAGATGTGGAGGTTCAGACAGTAATATTGATTATCCTGACCTCATGTTGACATAGTCTAATGTGTTTGTTTGTCTTTTTTTTGTTTTTTGTTTATTTTTACAAGAAAGGTTTACAACATAAAAGAAAAAAAAAAGAAATACCGAAGTGGTTCCCCAAGGCACCAATTTAAAGTGTATATGTGCAGTGCAGGGTTACTGGACCAAGGCACAGTGTAAACAGCGAAATTTTATTTTTTGTTTTCTTTTTCCTAAGATGTTCCTTACTCCCAGTTACATAAAAATGTGTATTACAAGCAAACAAAAATTAACAGGAATAGAAATAACTATAAAGTATATTCACATTAAAATCAGCTTTGCTTTATCTATTAAAGGATGTAACACAGTTGTGGTTTTCAGGACCTTGTAACTCCTGGTGAATTGGAAAGCACAGAAATTCTTCAGAGCCTCAAGAGTTGTGTTTAATGCATTATTTAAATAGTGTCCAACCACTAGTTAGATAGCTTAACACTCAAATAGCTTTTGAAATCTCTGTAGACTCACCTCAATTGAAGAGTCCTGATAATTTACAGAAGTGTGTAGTGCACTAAGAGATCCCTGCTGTACGATGCCTGCCTGTGGAGTGTTTTATGTGTTGATCCACTGGAGTGTGTGTGTGTGTCTGTGTGTACGTGGGTGAGTATGGGTGGGCACGGATTGTGTGTGTGTGTATGTGTTTACATTGTGGTATGTGTCTGTTGGGGTGCCGCCATTAGGGATTTGGAAGAGTGAGGACCATAAACTTGTCAACATTCCTACATGCCTGCTTCATAACAAGTGTACTGAACATGGCCAAAATAACTAAACCAAGTAAACAAATTAGACATTAATTAAATTTAATGCTGGGCAGGAAAGAAGTAGTCAAGGCCAGGTAAAATGAAGAAATATAACCAAGTGAATGAAATTTTTACATTGATTCGTAGAATGAGACATGAATATTTTTTAAAATTTGTAATTTCTAATGACTATCAGTATATAAAACTAAGAATTATATGGCTGTCAACTGACTAAAAACTGTACATAAGATTAGAGATAGTGAAACAACCATATATGAACTTCTATTTCCACTTTTCTGTCTCAAGAATGACTTGTGAAAATGATGTTTTTTTTGAAATTTTACATTCTCATTTTGAAAGAGCTTCACAAAACTTACGTGAGAATCTGGATGCTCATAAGAGGTCTGATTTTTTAATGGCATGTTTGTATTTCTGTTATGTACATCAATGTCAAGCATTCGTTTCCTGAGCTGTTCTCTACAACACAATTTAACTTGTAATAGACACTCAATAAAAGGTCGGTTGGATATTCAAATCAACACCTTAGTTCCATCAATTTTCATTTCATATAAAAATGCCTGATCTTCTATACTCACCAATGAAACAGAGAGAGATGAAGGAGGGAGAGCAGTTGAGACTGAGAGGATGACGAGCAGACCTCATTCTGCAGTGGATTTCCTACACTCTCCACTTCTGAATGCTTGGAAACACTTGCCATGCTTAGAAAATATTGGTATTTCCTAGGCAGCAAATGGGAGTTAAAGAAAGTCCATATTTCTATATTACAATAACTTACACTATAATACACAGACAACATACATTTCTAAGCTATTTCAATTCATAGAAAATGTAGATAAATTTAGGTGAGCAAGGTGTAGGAGAAGGGTTAGTAATCAAGCTGAGTGTGATTGTGAGATTAAATCTGATATTATGCAATTATTGTATAATTGTATCAGTTGACATATCTGTTGAAACAGAAGGTGGGAGAGTTTTGCATGCGCTTCCGAAATGTACTGGATGATGTTAGGAGAGAGGCGGGTCAACGTGGCTAGGCCATAAGTGTTTACTAATTGAGGCTTAGGAAAGTTAAGTTCCTAACCAGAGACTGGGAGATAGAGGCGCTAAATTGTATAACATTTATATTTAATATATATTTAATAATATATAGTAAAGTCTTAAAATGCCAATTTTAAGTCTTTTCATTTTCTTCTTAAAAACAGAGGTTTTATTGCGTTTGGTCCACAGTCGGTATTTCACATTATCTCATAGCGCAGGGCCCCTGGGTGGAGGGCTCTGTGCAGTACTTGGCGTGGCCTGGGGCCGGGAGAGATAGAGCAGTAGACCTGGTCAGGCCCGGAAGGGGAGAAGGAGGGCCGGGGCTCCTTAAGACCTACTGAGGGCCTGGGCGCGGTGGCTCTCGCCTGTCATCCCAACACTTTGGGAGGACGAAACAGGCGGATCACATGAGGGAAAGAGTTCCAAACCAGCCTGGCCAACATGGTGAAATCCCGTCTCTACTAAAAATACAAAAAATTTAGGCAGGCGTGGTGGTGGGCGCCTGTAGTCCCAGCTACTCTGGAGGCTGAGGCAGGAGAATCGCTTGAGCCCGGTAGGCCGAGGTGCAGTGAGGCGAGATTACTCCAGTGCGCTTCAGCCTGGGCGACAGAGTGAGACTACATCTCAAAAAAACAAAAACAAACAAAAAGCCCTACTGAGGGCCACGGAGGTGGGGGAGCAGGATGGAGATGGGTCAGGCTTAACCCTGACAACTCAAAATTCCACTACCTTGTACGGGCCTCAGTTTCCTCAAGGAGCCCCAGCGTAGGTCTGAGGTCTGTTGGTCTGAGGGTCCTAGGGAAATCCAGCTGCTCAGGAGCCTGAGATATTTTAGCATCGTGGCTGAGCCCCCTCTCCCAGGGGACACACTTCCTAGCACCCTCTCCACTGTCCCCGCCCCATTCCTCGGGGAAAAAAAATTTTTTTTATTTTGTTAATACTTCCTGAAACTTTTGCGGGTACAGAAACCACTTACTGATAGGCTGAGAAAAGGGGAAGAGGAGAGGCAACCAGAAACCTTCAGGGACCGGTTCCCTCCATGTCCAGGTCTCTTCTCTCCAGCACAGCTCAGCCTACAGCCTGGAAGTGCCAGCGGGCACCTTCACCCTACACGCATCAGGATATGGCCTTGATCCCTTCCCCCACAGCCCGGTGGCTCAGTCCTGAGAAGGAACCAAAGCAGGGGGAGGTGGGGGAAAAATCCCTGCTGCCTGATCCCACGCTGCCACTCACAGACCCTCGGTTGACTGGCAGCACTGAACAGGTTTAAAAAAAAAAAGATGAAAACACAGAAAAACCCAAACACCCAGAGGGGAGATCATGTGTGGAGAGAGCGTGCTGGGAGCCTCAGTAGCCGGTCTCCTCCTGGTAGTAAGGGAGATATTCAGGGGCCGGAGCCCGAGGGAGCGCCGTGGGCCACTGGGCCTCCCCAGTAGTACCTGGGGTCGTATATCTGTAGGCCCATGCCGAAGGCCTGGCCGCTCTGATGAGCGCCCTGCGTGTATCCCATCTTCAGGGACGTGGAGGAGTTGTCACACTTGTCGATTCCCAGCTTGGTGTCATAGGTGTGCTCATTACTCCTATCTAGCTGTAAGTTTGTATTTGTTAACCAACCTCTCCCTGTCCTCTTCTCCCTGTTGCTCTCCCCAGCCTGTAATAACCAGAATTCTACTCTCCACTTCCATGAGCTCAGTTCGTTTTTTTTTAGCTCCCACATATGAGTGAGAACATGCAAGATTTATAATTCTGTGCCTAGGTTATTTCACTTAATGTAGTGTTCCAGGCTGATCCATGTTGCAGCCAAGGACAGGATTTCATTATTTTTACGGCTAAATAGTACTCCACTGTGAATAGATACTACATTTTTAATCTATTATGTTTTTGGACATTTAGGTTGATTCTAATCTTGGCTACTGTGAATAGTGGCTGCTATAAACATGAGGGTGCAGGTATCTCCTAAATATGCTGATTTCCTTTCCTGTAGATAAATGCCCCATAGTGGGACTGCTGGAAAAAGAAAAAATTCTTTTTCTTTAAACCTGATCATGTCTGTCCTCATAAATGCATGTTACACCCATCTCTCGCCATCAATGCAACCCGACCCCGAGCAGTTGTTCACTCTTCTCTTCCCTCGTTCTCGGCACACCGTGTGCCTCCATACCCCAGCCTCAGGCCTTTCTATACCACTTCCCATTTGAGGCACTGTGTTTTTATTCAACTTTGGTACTGTCCTTTGAGAATCTTCAACGTGATTTGGATATGGCACTTTTTATCAGGATGTTACGTCAGAGTTGATAAATTCAAAGTAATATCGTTCTTTTTCCTGCCAAAGTCAGCTCCTCCTTTCCACTGCACTTTCCTGCCGATGCCACCACTCTTTCTCCTGAATGTTCTCAGAGGACACCCTTGTACCTGGACTGGTCATTACATAGGTGTAAGTTTTATTCTCTAAAAGGGGTGAGTGAGAGTTTATACTAAGGTTGTAAGCATCCCTCAGGGCAGACTCTGGATGTATATTACAGAACTGCTGAACTTGTGGAATGTGCATGTTTAATACTGAAAATATTTAATGCCACATGTGTAAGACTTTTGCCAACTGGAATCTGAACATCAACAACTTTGAAGGGCTTATTCTACCTTCTCGGCACAAAAATACTTTCTATGAATGCACATATTTATGTGCAAACGTATAGAAAATTGACTTTAAAGTGTACAACAAATTTATTTTAGCAATTGGGCCTGGGGGACCTAGAAGGAGAATGAGATTGGAGTGGTAGGGGTGGAACATTAGCTAATAATGATTTATTTTATTAAAAGTAATTACTGAAAACCAATGCAATAAAATATTAACATGTTACTTGAAGGGGTTGGGAGTATAGTGCTTATATTCTTCTTTACATGTTTTAATATCTTTAAAATTCCTTGTTTTGCTTTTGCTAAGGAAGTCACAGTTTAATTGGCAGTATATCTCTAATGGTACATGAAATAATGTCTGATTTCTAAACATTGACATTCTACATTAGATGAAATATATTAACTATTAAGCTTTGATATTACACTATAAAATTAATTGAAGAAAGCCACCCCTCTTTGTTTCTTTCTTTTTTAGTTATTATGTGCCCCATGTGATCTGCAGGAGTTTTTTTTCTAGGCTTTGAACATTTTAAATAAAATCAGAATTTGTTCAAGTTCAGTTAACACTCAGCTGTGAACCCTATGGTACTGGGGTCTTTTTCAATGGGAGATCTCTAAGCATTATTCCAAACTATTCTATGCTAATTGATCTATTGATAATTTATAATTTATTATGAAATACATTAAATTTCTTAAAAAGAAAAAGGAAAGAAGTAAAGGGAAACATTTATTACAATTTAAATAAAGGAATTAGCAGTTGAAAACAAGAAAACCTATTCTGAGCATCCATACTTCTCGGCAACCAAAACAATCAATGAAATCAATGCATTGGGTTAAACAGTTCCCAATTGCCCACTATGTTACCAGGAGAAAAAAACCCTTTATCATAGGGTTAAACTTTGGGAAGGATTTTCCATAAGGATCTTAATATAAAGGTTCTTGAATGGCATAATGTATAAGGTCTTTGATAGCAACGCTACCCACAGTGCAAAGATGTTTTACTAGTCCTGTTGGTGTCTCAAATTGGCTCTTGGTAAGTAATCTGGACATATCGTGAAATTATAATTCTGTGTAGACAATTCGACTTACCAGGTTAGAGTGATGCAATCCAAATAGATGGCTTTCTTCTGATCTGGCTTAACAGAAATCTTGAAAAATCTGGAGGAGTAAATGTTTAATATACCCTCAGTTCTCAACCATTCTTCTTCCCCTGAAAGACAACATCACAGGCAGGACATCCTCCCAAGTGTACACGCAATATTATGTACAGTTCCCACGTGAGAAAGCACATCATAATCTTAGTGAGAATGATGTTCTCATAAGGTCAGTTATACTCAGTGTGCATAGTTGTCCAAGTGTGAGTATGAAACCAAGTCATTCGCAAGTACCACTAGTCTGATTATTAGTAATAATAATCCACTTGTGACATAGTTTTTCTTTGCTGAAATAAAATATTGTTTTGACACCATGGTTGAAATGTTGGTCTTAGGTCAATGCTCTCTATTATCTGTTGTTGTTGCCAAGCCTCTGAGAGGTGTTTTATGTGGGGCAAAAGGTCCCTTCCTGTGTCTTTGGTCAAAGCAAAGGAGGAGTACAGACGACTGAGAGAGTGATCACGCTGCTGTGCCCACCTATGCGGTAGACCTTGTTCCTGGGTTGGGAGATGTTTTATGATCAGGGTGCAGTAGAAGGAGCACACTAGTAGCAGTAAAGAGAGGTGACCCTGGCTGCAGTTCTGCCTCTAACTTCCTGAGTGACCTCAGGCTAGTCACACAGTGACTGCTCCCCACATTTCTTTTTGTAAGCTGCAAGGATTGAATCAGACAATAGCCTCTAAGTTTCTTCTGAACTCTCATACTCAGGGATGCCAACGATGTTGGTAATAAAATAGTATGAACATGCCAAAAAAATAAAAATAAGGAAGAGAAATAGGTATGTAACTTTACTCTGGGACTCCTGTGGTATCTCACAACACCATGCTTCATGAACCCCAAAGAAAGCAAAAAATCCAGCTAGTGTTATAAATCCTGACCAGCTGAATTCTTTCACATGTTGCAGCCTGACTCAAGTTATTCATCGCAGAGGCTAGCAGCTCCCTGATGCATCCTTCCTTGTCTCTGGACAGGATAAAAATAAGAAATTGGCCATTGTGAGACACTCTGAGTTTCGTGGGATTGAGCAGAGCATATTTTATATTCTTCTCTTGGAACTGCCTCTTGTTGGTAGTAAATGGTTGCCAGCACTGTTGTTTCTCAATAGACAAGTCCTAGAAATAAAGATAATTCAATTTTCATTCACTCTTAGCTCTTCTGCTACCAGTGTTCTTCTTTGACACTGACAGGGCTGCACCTGTCTCCCTGGCCTGACATAGCACTTGTATGGTTTGCCACTTGCCAGAAAATCCACGAGTCATTCTAAAGACCTTTTGCCCAGCAGAGACCACTCCAGTGAGCACAAATTGTCTAGTGGTTTTTTTTAGATGGTCTTCCTCCTTGGCTCATTTCTCTCCAAGAACGAAAGTATCAAGGTGTTCATTTAACAGCAGCTCCTGAAAGACAATCCAGCTTGATTTAAATCTTTAACGGTTTTCATTATAATAGAAAATATAATAGCAACAGTAGCATCCTCTTTTACATTGAAATTAAATTGCAATTCTTTCACTGTTGGGGTGGCAAGTATAATTCCTATCACTTCTTTGGAAAGCAATACAACTTACTAAAGATCACCAAAATGTTTATACTTTTTGGAACCAAAAACCTCACTGAAAAAAATTTATTCCAAGAGTATGATTCAACAGAAAAAAAAAAGTAATATACATGTGCATGTTTCTCCCTGTGAAAACAACAGCACAGAATTTACTAGACAAGTTTTGAAACAGTTGGCTATGTGGTAACATGGAACAACATTCTCCTATAATGTTGAAGGATAAAAGCTTAGAGAATAGAATATATTCTATGACTGCAACTGTGAAAGAAAACATAGATCTACATAGGGACAAAGATGATAAACATGCGAAAACAGGTGTTAGATTCATGGATTATGTGTATTTTTCCTGCATTCAAATTTATCTTTATTATTGCTTTTTTATGTTCCCCTCTCCTCCCCCCAAAAAATCCTAAAGATCTTGAATATGCCCCTGTCAATATTTAACATTTCTTCTGAAACTGAGTCTAGATACTCAATCTGCTCCAGTTTTTTGAACAAGATGAGTAGCAAGGTTATTCTTTCCATTTTTTTGTTTGTTTGTGTTTTTTGTTTGTTTGTTTTTTGTTTTTTTTTTACAGCCAGACACAGGTCTTGAATTGTACAGCTGACTGCTTTGTTTGGGATACGTTACTTTCAATCATTTTCCTGATCCTCTGCATGATTTACAGAAGCCGAGTGGGTGGCTTTAGCATTTCCATGGTCCTCCCTCTCCACTATCATGACATTCTTAGGTGAATTTTTTTTAGAGCCATTATTCTCCATTTACAAAGGCAGAATGCAGTGGCAGGAGCTGGGACTCTGGGAAACCAACAGCCAAGAATTCAAACTACAGCATACTATGAAACACTCAGATAAGATGTCCCCATCATATTCTATTATTGGGCAAAATAAAAGGTAAACCATGTGCTCAAAACAGCAAATATTGTGGGTGACAGTGACACTGGTATTCGGAAAGATGAAGAGATGCAATTAAGAAACCTGGCAAAGAAGTAAACATGCCATGTAGCTTACAAAAGACCAGCCACATTGTGTGTATTTTAATATTGTTTAACAGTAACACCTAATAAAGAGAGCATCATGATTGTGTGAACTACATTTTCGGTCATAATGAATGCTACAAAATTAACCTCCCAAGTTTAGACAGGCTACAACGTCTTGGGAAATATGCAAGAAGAATTATTTGATAAAGGTGACAGTTTTTCACACCTGAAAATGATCTTCTCCCAGCCTATCTTGATCAACAGCCAGCAGCAACACATTGCAGATATAATCTCAAGACCTTGTGGCATGTACTTCTCACTACATGCATAACTTACTATGGACAGAGGATCATGGAGATTTTGAATATAATTTCCCACATGACAGGAGATTAAATAGACCACATTGGAAGAAGCTAGGTCTCTGGAGAACCAAAAAGTAAACTTCAGCCAGTTCTGGAAGCAGATAAACAGCAGGAAATGTACTTTCAGATGGGCTACTTTCTCAATAGTTCTTTCTTGCAAGAGCTCTAGGGAAAGTATGAGTTACTGGGTAAGAATGTAATAGAAAAGGGGCCAGCCTTGGAAAACTTTGCAATGGAAGAAAATCAGTGTCTCCTCATTTACATCTTTCTTTCTCCTCTTCCTTTGTAATGCCACCTTTCTTGGGATATTCCTTCCCCTAGAATACCCTGCCTGTCACCCCACGAGAACCTGCTCTTGAGACTGCATTTCTAATACCTATAATGAGATGTTATGTCAATGCCTTATCTCTCAGTGTGTGTATATACATATTAAGCTTTCTGTCTATGTTGTGCTTTCTCATGCAGGAATATCAGACATTAATGAACCAGTAAAGAAGATACTGAGGTGCAGAAGAGCTTTCCCAGTGTCCCGGGAGCCATTCTACACAGCATCCTACAGAATGACTGTGGATCTGCTGTGCTTAGTTTCTTTACTTGTGAAAACAGAGTAATAGCAGCACCTACCTCACAGGGTTGTTCTGAAGATTAGAGGGGTTCTTTCATGGGAAGCTCTAGAGCAGTGCTTGAGACATGGTAAGTGCTCAACATGTGTTCATTATTATTATCATTATCAATATTTGATGTAAAAGCCTTTCTGAAAGAAATCACACAAGAACATGATCAGTTAAAAGATATATATGAATGAAAGTATGTTTGGCGCTGTCACAACACAGAGTGGCATAATGGTTAGGAACATAGGCTTTGGAAGTCAACCATCTGTGCTCAAAGCCTAGTGTCACCACACAGCCATTGTGGGACACTGGGCCTCAGATTTCTAGCCTGAAAAATGGGGGAACAATGTCTGTCATATAAAGTTGCTGTAAAGATCAAACTGGATAAGAAATGTAAAATACTCAACAGTGCCTGACACAAAATAAACACCAATTAATGGTAGCAGGAAGAAAAGAGCACTCTTCACCAACATTTTACCTTCAGAAATTGGTTAAGAAGAAATGAGTGCTTAGGAACCTTCCTGTTAGAGCTGGGAACACAAATAACCCCAAGATATGACCCAACTGAGAAAAGAGATACGAGAGTCAGCAGGTCTCAGGACTCGAGAACATATCATAGATCTGGGGCCAAGGGGACCTCCCAATACCTCAGTCTTGAATTAGCCAGATGTGCCTTTCAGTCCTTGGCTGAGCTGGACTGAGGCCTCCTCCAAAGGGAGAAATAAATGCGCATCCTGAAGAGAGCTGACTCTGAAAGAGAGAGAAACCCACAGAGGCTGAGTTTCACCAGTACAGCTACTTTCAAGCACATTCCTCAGTTAAGTCATTTCTCTTCCCAAGGGGAGGACTGAATGAGCTTATGGTGAGAGGCCAAAAGCTTTTCTCCTTTGTTTTTCCCTCATGGGAGAGGACGGAAGTGCTATCCTTTCTGTGGGAACCTGCAGACTATGGACGTTTCCCCCAGCAGTTGGCATTGACTGATTTATCTGCATGTTTCTCTGTTCACATCCTCTATATGAAGAATCGAAGTGGGAATAGCCCCCAAGTAATCTGATAGTACCAAAGCACTATTCTAGTTTTGTATAATTTTTAAGTCTCTTCTTTAAATTTTTTTTTGCAGACTCCATCCCAGACACAGCATACCAGAGTCTCCAAAGGGCTAAGCTCAGCAATCTGTTCTCAAGCTCCCAACAGGAGTCTTATATAGTCAGGCAGGCAATGATCATATATGGGGACCATTAGAAATAATCTAATGCATACCCTCTGAACTTCAAATTTTTAGTATTCTCATTTTCTGCTCAAGCTCAATTTCAACACAGTTCACAGTTTCTCATATCCACCATGGCATTCTGCCAAGGAACTACAACTCGTGTTCTCTAAACCCATCTGTTCTAAGAATGCTGGGCTGGTTATCAATTTCTAATGTACCTGCTTAAACTTTCCTCTCTCAATATGTCCCTGACTGAACTGCAGAAGACAGAACAACTGTACTAGCCATCTCTTTCTGCATATCCCATGTCCCCACAGAGGCCACTGTGTCTTCATAAAGCTAACTGCCACGATTTTCACAAGTGATATTTTTCCTTCATGATTTTCCATTTTCTACTTGGGCATTAAAATACCAGGGAGAGAAGGAAGATAATCGTTTAGCAGCTGGGAAAATAAGATATGTGCCCCAGCACAGTACATGCTAAGTATTCAGAATGTATAGTTATAGTAGATAACTATAAATTAGATAACTATTAAAATAGTTATATTAGATAAGCAATATTTTTCTCATCTTCAAGACTTAAAAAGTTAACTGTTTTAAGTGGTATTCAAAAAAGGAAGGTACTCACTCACATCAACCCTATTGAAACCACATTTCTATAGCTGGATGTAACAATCTTAATCCAAATCATTCACCAAAGTTGTTTAACTTTCTTAAAGTAAGGCTCTAGACATTTGCTTCTTTACAAGTATCTTGCAAAGCCATTATGAGGTAGAAGAAATGTTTAAATGCGCCACATTTTCCTACTGCATTGTAACTAAAATTACTACTCACAGGACGTGTATAGCTTCTGCATTTTGGTCCATCACATTTTCCGCCATCAAATGAGTGTATTCTTAAGGTTCTCACTTTATCATCAGCATAACATATTTTGCTTCCAGAATGCCCAGTAAGGCTGAAATTTTTCATTTAAAGTGATAAAAAAGTTCCCCAAATATCTACTTAACAATCTTAGATCTGAGTTTTAGCAAGACAGTTTAATGCATACACAATGAAAACACTATATTTCTCACTCTCTCTCACATGCACAGATTAAAACCCCAAAGTTTTCACTATATTTCCTCTTTCTTATACAGCTCAATTTTTAACATGCAGCTTCCTTATAATCTAAAAACAATTTTAAATATGATTATCATAAAAATATTTTAAAACAGAGATGAAATGTGTAAAGGCAGATATAGATCATCCATGGTTACATTGGTTACATCACATTTCTTTAGAAACAGAACTGTTTCTACTCCTGTAGACAAACTTCTCTCTCACACATTTAAAGTGAGGTTAGTGCTGACATAAAATTATCGCTCTACTCACCATCTGAGTGTTTGCACTGTGTTTGAGGTACATTTTCTTCATTTTCACAGCCCCACCACTCTTGAGAGTATGAGTCAACAGAAGTTTGCAGGCTAAAACCATTCAATAATATTTTCATCAATACTGGAATGATAGTAAGTAACATTACACAACATCAGAGGCCAAAAATTTTTCTTTGTTGAAGCCCAAGATTTTAACTTA
The DNA here is from genome assembly GCF_000001405.40 of Homo sapiens. NCBI lineage: Eukaryota > Metazoa > Chordata > Mammalia > Primates > Hominidae > Homo > Homo sapiens. The sequence continues at coordinate 40,349,954 of NC_000009.12, read as the reverse complement.
TTCTTCATTACCTGAAAATACTGCTCATTTAACCTCTTCAGGAAAAAAAAAAATTCTGTAGATGAATAATTCCTGCCTTAATGCTTCACCCAAGACAGTTCCTTCATACTTATCCTCCAATGCTTTGTTCTTTTCATCCATTTGATGTAGCAGGCAACAAGAATCACCTTTCCTTTGGTGATCTGACATAGCGATCTCTTATGTTTTTGCTAATTGTTTGATAAATATTTAGTAAATTTTTCCACGGTATGTATGCACTATTTTTTGTAGTTCCAATTCTAAAGGTTTTATTAATGAATGAACATTGTCATCTTAAAAGAACAATTTCTCAGTGCTTCATAAACAGCTCTAAATGCTGGTTGCTTATCATCATGGTAAACACCTCTGTTCCCGTGAAAAATAAAGATTCCTTCTTCTGCTTCTTGGCAACTGCTTCCATATAGACAGTGATCTGGACGACACTTCCATTGACACGGAAAGACAAAAAGGCTTTCTGGATTATGAAAAAACAGGATATCCAACAGATCTTGATCGCCCATGTAATGTTTAACTTGTATATTTTAAGCCATGTCATAAGTATATCTCCTCATTGTAGTCACACAGTTGTCATATTATTCTTGAAATACTTCCTTCTCATTCAAGTCATGTTTGTCAACATAACTCCAGAGTTTACTCCAGCTTTTCCACACTATGGATGCCTAGCAAAGCGACTATACCATCCTATTTGACATTCCTTGTGTTCTGGGGCCATTGCAGAATTTGTGTGGAATTAAATTTCTTTAGTAAAGACCAAATATTATCAGCTGGTCTTTTAAAAAGGCTATCAGTGTGAGAGTCAACTTCTTTCAGGAATAACGGCAAGGACAATCTCTGCAAACCACATGGTTTAAAGAGTTTTTCCACTCTGCTGCATTCTCACTTGGAAAGGTTATGGAGTATATTGTATAATTAAATATTTGTAGAAATGACCCCTGTCAAGCCTTCCTTTAAAGCTATGATGTAGTTGATCTTCAGCAAAAATCTGGAATTGAAGAGGTTTGATCCTGAAAATAATAGCTGACTTCAACATGGTCATAGTTTCTTCCAGTCTTTCACCTAGATACATTTTCTCAACAGGCTGTATTTTCAGACTACACCTGTCCCACCTGCGGGGATGAGCAGCGGGACAAGCGCTGCTCGCGCCTCTCACCGCACCGCATCCGCCTCCCGCCAGCCAGGAAGCCACTGCGGCCTGCGGCTTCCCGCCACCACGGCCCGCTCCTTCCTCCGGGGACACGGGGAGCTGGCTGAAGGCGTAAAGGAGCGAGCAGAAGCCTCAGGCCAGACACAGAGCCACCACGCGCGGTAGCGCCGCATGGCCCCAGCGGCGTTCCTCGGTCTCCGTCTCCGCCGCGCCCGCCTGACGAACTGGAGCACAGGGACCATAGTTCTGGAAATTTATCCTTTTTCTCTCCATGGATTCAGCAGCAGCGTCTAAAAGAAAAAAAATCATCAATCAATCATTTATATATGTTTTAATATAAAGATATAAAACAGTGGAACCAGTGGAACTGGATAGAAAGTAATTCAGTTTTACAGAACACATCTGTTTTTCAGGCTCTTACTTTTCTTAAACATAAAAGAGCCATATATATTTCTATGGAATTCCCCTTTTACTTAAGAATTCATTATCAGCGAATTAGTGTAACGAGGCTGTTTTGTTAGAGGCTGTGGTTGCATTCAAAAATTAGAATAGGAACAACGACTTGTAAAAATTCAACACTTTATTTTATTTTTGAGACAGTTTCACTGTGTTGTCCAGGCTGGAGTGCAGTGGCTTGATCTCAGCTCACTGCAACCTCCCCCTCCAGGGTTCAAGCCATTCTCCTGCCTCAGCCTCCCGAGTAGCTGGGATTACAGATTTGTGCCACCATACCTGGCTAATTTTTGTATTTTTAGTAGAGAAGGGGTTTCACCATGTTGGCCAGGCTGGTCTTGAACTGCCAACCTCAGGCGATCCTCCCCGCTCAGCCTCCCAAAGTGCTGGGAGTACAGGCGTGATTTAACATTTTAACATTTTAAACTACCACTTACTACATTCACTGTGTCTGTGATTTAATATACCTTTTTCAGTGGCCACAAAATTATAAAATGGATACAGAATAGTCTCTTCAAAACATTAAGGAAGTTCTTTCTTTTTTCTTTTTCTTTTTCTTTTTTTTTTTTTTTTTTTTTTGGTTTGAGACGGAGTCTTGCTCTGTCGCCCAGGCTAGAGTGCAGTGGCACAATCTTGGCTCACTGCAACCTCCGCCTCCCGGGTTTAAGGAATTCTCTTCTTCAGCCTCCCGAGTAGCTGGGATTACAGGCGCCCGCCACCACGCCCAGCTAATTTTTTTGTATTTTTAGTAGAGACGAAGTTTCACCATCTTGGCCAGACTGGTCTTGAATTCCTGACCTCATGATCAGCCCGCCTCGGCCTCCCAAAGTGCTGGGATTACAGGCGTGAGCCACAGCGCCCCGCCGCAAGTTCTTTCTTCTTGAAAGGATTATAAATATAATTCATACTGGCATGACACTTTTACTAATATAGATTGACTTTTCGCTTCAAATAACCCATTCGTATATCGAAATTAATTTTGGTCAGTATGTGTGTGTGTGGATGTATGTGTGTGTGGATGTGTGGATGTATGTGTGTGTGGATGTGTGGATGTAAATGGCAGTAAAGGGTAAAAGGGAAGGTGGAAAAAAGGGAGATGGTCTAACATTTTCCACACATTTTTAAATACACAAAATGTATATTTAACACAATACACATACAATAAAATATGTAGTAAAACAATGGTGTGGTGAAAACAAAACATTGCGAACTAGAAAAAAGACTTAGCCGCTGGTCCTGTCGGATCCGCCCCGCGGTGGCCCTCCAGCCGTAAGCTCCACGCAGTTCAACAAGGGCCCCTCCTACAGGCTCTTGGCGGACGTCCAGAACAGGCTTCTGCCCAAATATGACTCCCAGAAGGAGGCAGAGCTCCGCAGCTGGATCAAGGGATTCACTGGCCTCTCCATCCGCCCCGACTTCCAGAAGGGCCTGAAGGACGGGATTATTTTATGCACACTCGTGAACAAACTGCAGCCGGGCTCAGTCCCCAAGATCAACGGCTTCCGTGTAGAACTGGCACTAGCTAGAAAACCTCTCCAACTTCCTCAAGGCAATGGTCAGCTACGGCATGATCCCGTGGACCTATTTGAGGCCAACAACCTGTTTGAGAGTGGGAACAATATGCAGGTGCGGGTGTCTCTTCTCGCCCTGGCAGGGAAGGCCAAGACTAAGGGGCTGCGGAGCGGGGTGGACATCCGTGACAAGTACTCAGAGAAGCAGAACTTCGACGACACCACCATGAAGGCCAGCCAGTGCGTCATCCGGCTGCAGATTACCAACAAATGTGCCAGCCAGTCAGGCATGACCGCATATGGCACGAGGAGGCATCTCTACGACCCCAAGAACCGCATCCTGCCCCCCATGGACAATTCGACCATCAGCCTCCAGATGGGTACAAACAAGTGCGCCAGCCAGGTGGGCATGACGGCTCCCGGGACCCAGCGGCACATCTATGACACCAAGTTGGGAATCGACAAGTGTGAGAACTCCTCCATGTCCCTGAAGATGGGCTACACGTAGGTTGCCAATCACAGCGGCCAGGTCTTTGGCCTAGGCCGGCAAATATACGAACCCAAGTACTAGCCAGGTGGCCCAGTGGCCCACGGGGCTCCCTCCGCCGGCAACTGCCCAGGGCCAGGGGAGGCCCCTTACTACCAGGAGGAGACCGGCTACTGAGGCTCCCAGCACGCTCTCTCCACACATGGTCTCCCCGTCTGGGTGTTGGGTTTTTCTGTGTTTTCATCTTTTTTTTTTTTAACCTGTTCAGTGCTGCCAGTCAACCGAGGGTCTGTGAGTGGCAGCGTGGGATCAGGCAGCAGGGTTTTTTCCCCACCTCCTCTTGCTTTGGTTCCTTGGCAGGACTGAGACACCGGGCTGTGGGGGAAGGGATCAAGGCCATATCCTGATGCGTGTAGGGTGAAGGTCCCCGCTGGCACTTCCAGGCTGTGGGCTGAGCTGTGCTGGGGAGAAGAGACCTGGGCATGGAGGGAACCAGTCCCCGAAGGTTTCTGGTTGCCTCTCCTCTTCCCCTTTTTGTCAGCCGATCAGTTTGTGGTTTCTGTACCTGCAAAAGTTTCAGGAAGTATTAACAAAAGAAAGAAAATTTTTTTCTTCTCCGAGGAATGGGGCGGAGACAGTGGAGAGGGTGCTGGGAAATGAGTCCCCTGGGAGAGGGGGCCCAGCCACGATGCTAAAATATCTCAGGCTCCTGAGTGGCTGGATTTCCCTAGGACCCTCAGACCGACAGACCTCAGACCCTCAGACCTATGCTGGGGCCCGGTGAGGAAACTGAGACCCGTACAAGTTAGTGGAATTCTGAGTTGCCAGGATTAAGTCTGACCCCTCTCCATCCTAGCTCCCCCACCCCCGTGGCCCTCAGTAGGGTTTTTTGTTTGTTTTTGTTTTTTGTTTTTTTTGAGATGTAGTCTCACTCTGTCGCCCAGGCTGAAGCACAGTGGAGTAATCTCGCCTCACTGCACCTCAGCCTCCCAGCTTAAGCGATTCTCCTGCCTCAGCCTCCAGAGTAGCTGAGACTACAGGCGCCCACCACCACGCCTGCCTAATTTTTTGTATTTTTAGTAGAGACGGGATTTCACCATGTTGGCCAGGCTGGTCGGGAACTCTTTCCCTCATGTGATCCGCCTGTTTCGTCCTCCCAAAGTGTTGGGATGACAGGCGAGAGCCACCGCGCCCAGGCCCTCAGTAGGTCTTAAGGAGCCCCGGCCCTCCTTCTCCCCTTCCGGGCCTGACCAGGTCTACTGCTCTATCTCTCCCGGCCCCAGGCCACGCCAAGTACTACACAGAGCCCTCCACCCAGGGGCCCTGCGCTATGAGATAATGTGAAATACCGACTGTGGACCAAACGCAATAAAACCTCTGTTTTTTAAGAAGAAAATGAAAAGACTTAAAACTGGCATTTTAAGACTTTATTATGTATTATTAATTATATATTAAATATAAATGTTATACACTTTAGCGCCTCTATCTCCCAGTCTCTGGTTAGGAGCTTAACTTTCCTAAGCCTCAATTAGTAAACACTTATGGCCTAGCCACGTTGACCCGCCTCTCTCCTAACATCATCCAGTACATTTCGGAAGCGCATGCAAAACTCTCCCACCTTCTGTTTCAACAGATATGTCAACTGATGCAATTATACAATAATTGTATAAGATAATATTAGATTTAATCTCACAATCACACTCAGCTTGATTACTAACCCTTCTCTTACATCTTGCTCACCTAAATTTATCTACATTTTCTGTGAACTGAAATAGCTTAGAAATGTATGCCATCTGTGTATTATAGTGTAAGTTATTGTAATATAGAAATATGGACTTTCTTTAACTCCCATTTGCTGCCTAGGAAATACCAATATTTTTTGAGCATGGCAAGTGTTTCCAAGCATTCAGAAGTGGAGAGTGTAGGAAATCCACTGCAGAATGAGGTCTGCTTGTCATCCTCTCAGTCTCAACTGCTCTCCCTCCTTCATCTCTCTCTGTTTCATTGGTGAGTATAGAAGATCAGGCATTTTTATATGAAGTGAAAATTGATGGAACTAAGGTGTTGATTTGAATATCCAACCGACCATTTACTGAGTGTCCATTACAAGTTAAATTGTGTTGTAGAGAACAGCTCAGGAAACGAATGCTTGACATTGATGTACATAACAAAAATACAAACATACCATTAAAAAATCAGACCTCTTATGACAATCCAGATTCTCATGTAAGTTTTGTGAAGCTCTTTCAAGATGAGAATGTAAAATTTCAAAAAAAAAATCATTTTAACAAGTCATTCTTGAGATAGAAAAGTGGAATTAGAAGATCATATATGGTTGTTTCACTAGCTCAAATCTTATGTACAGTTTTTAGTCAATTGACAGCCATATGATTCTTATTTTATATGCTGTTATTCATTAGAAACTACAAATTTTAAAAAATATTCCTGTCTCATTCTATGAATCAATCTAAAAATTTCATTCATTTGGTTATATTTCTTCATTTTACCTGGCCTTGAATACTTCTTTCCCGCCCAGCATTAAATTTAATTAATGTCTAATTTGTTTACTTGGTTTAGTTACTTTTGGCCATGTTCAGTACACTTCTTATGAAGCAGGCATGTAGGAATGTTGACAAGTTTATGGTCCTCACTTTTCCAAATCCCAAATGGTGGCACCCCAACAGACACATACCACAGTGTAAACACATACACACACACACAATCCACGCCCACCCATACTCACCCACCTACACACAGACACACACACACACACACACTCCAGTGGATCAACACATAAAACACTCCACAGGCAAAGACATTATCCATCAGGGATCTCTTAGTGCACTACACACTTCTGTAAATTATCAGGACTCCTCAATTGAGGTGAGTCTACAGAGATTTCAAAGGCTATTTGAGTGCTAAGCTATCTAACTAGTGGTTGGACACTATTTAAATAATGTGTTAAACACAACTCTTGAGGCTCTGAAGAATTTCTATGCTTTCCAATGAACCAGGAGTTACAAGGTCCTGAAAACCACAAGTGTGTTACATCCTTTAATAGATAAAGCAAAGCTGATATTAATGTGAATATACTTTATATTTACTTATATTCGTGTTAATTTTTCTTTGCCTGTAATACATATTTTTATATAATGGGGAATAAGAAACATCTTAGGAAAAAGAAAACAAAAAATAAAATTTCACTGTTTACACTGTGCCTTGGTCCAGTAACCCTGCACTGCACATATACACTTTAAATTGGTGTCTTGGGGAACCACCTCGGTATTTCATTTTAATAGCGCATCCTGGAGAATATATTTGAGTGGATCACATATTACAACTGATTTAAATTTTGACCCATATAGAAATGTTTTCAAAAATATGTCTGAAGCCTGGATACTGTAAAAATGTTTATCATCATAGAATAATAAAAGGCTAGCCATTAGTTACTCAGAAATTGTTCAGTAAATCTAAGATGACTTAGACATAAATAGTTATGAGTGAATATAGTTCATCATTAATGTTTGTAAAAATTAATGCTGTCTTTTATGGTTGAGAAAAACTAGAAATGTAACTTAATTTGATAGAGATAAATGACATAAACTTTACATAAAGCAAGAGAATAATAGATGTGTAAAAATGTTTTGTAGATAAGATTTTAAGATGAAATTGTGCTGAACGACATGAATCAAATGTGTTTTGCATACTACATCTGCAGCTACAACATCACAGCCTTTTAAGTATTTCGTTAACTTCAAAATGTAACTTATTGCTGAAACAATCTGATTTAATGAATTGGGATAACGGGTAATGATTGGTGTCAGCTGAAAGCAATGCTACAATTTTAAAGTTAGATTTCTTTGTGTATTAATACAAACACCAGAGAAGATGGTCAATAAAGTAATTACTGTACAATGCCTATCATAATACTTAAACCTGGAAGAAAATCAGAAAATGTTAAGTGAATAGAATTGGTGAATTGTTTCCATTTTATACAATTTTTTGTTCATTTTAGGGCTTACCAAAACTTGCAGCTCTGAATAAGGCCCAATTATTTACTCCTTCAAATAAAACAAGACTGCAAGAATAAGAGTGAATGCTTTGTTTTGTTTTGTTTTTCACTGAAATATTCCAGTCTGTAGCAGCTCCAAATCACACTGATCTTTCTAGAGTCTGATACAGGTCCTGGTCTCAAGGCCAGTGTTACCATAATCACCATCTTTTGTGCTTCAAGGTTGAGCCCTCCTAATTTACCTGCATGAAATTGGAAAAGTCCTGTTTCATACTTTAAGCAACCTAGATGTCTCTTTCACTAAAAGTGGTATTCTTCTTGTGTGTTTTTTTTTTTTTTTTGCAGCAAATGATGTCAACTTCTACCTACACCTGACATCTCAATTAATTTTTGACATTTTCTTCTTCACATTTCCATTTCAAATCACCAAGTATTGTCAGATTTTACCTTCTCTCTATTTCTTGAATGAATTTTTCTCTTTCTATCTTCATTGCCATCATGGATTCCAGCCCATCACTCTCTCACCTGGGCTATGGTGCACACCTCTAAAGTGCTCTCCCTGATTCTCTCTCCAAAAATGGTTCTGTGCTATATCTGGAATGATTACTTGAAATGTAAATACAATTTGCATTGTAAATTGCTTTGCTTAAAAACTCCCAAAGACTTCACATTAGTACTAGGATAAATAGCAAGAGTCCAAAAATGGGTTCAAGCAGTACAAAATTTGTTTCCTTTCTCTTTCCCCCCTCTTGTGGCATGAACATTGTTGAACTAAATGATTCAGATGTATTTCTTCTTGTCTCCTGGACTTTGGTCTTCTTACTCATATGCTTTTCCCACTACCATCCCAGATTTATATAATTAGCTCTTACTGGGTTTTTTTGTTTGTTTTTTTTGAGATGGAGTCTTGCTCTGTTGCCCAGGCTGGAGTGCAGTGGTGTGATCTCAGCTCACTACAAGCTCCACCTCCCAGGTTCATGCCATTCTCCTGCCTTAGCCTCCAGAGTAGCTGGGACTACAGGCGCCTGCCACCTCACCTGGCTAATTTTTTTTTTTTTTTTGTATTTTTAGTAGAGACAGGGTTTCACAGTGTTAGCCAGGATGGTCTCGATCTCCTGACCTCGTGATTCACCTGCCTCAGCCTCCCAAAGTGCTGGGATTACAGGTGTAAGCCACCACACCCAGCCAGCTCTTACTCTTATTTTAGTTTGCTCTTCATCTTCCCCACCAAGGGAAACCTTACCTGATATCCCTAAATATGAAAGGCTTTCATAACAGTGCATAGCTTTTCTCTGTTATTTATAATATTGTTTTTAGGTTTTTATATTTTTATTACTATTTATAATAGATACATCTGAGCATGCTCTTTGATAATAAGTCTAATAAAGTTTTGATGCATTTAGTAATTCAGTACAAAATTGTTTTCTATAAGCCATGATTCTAGAGATTGAGGGGAAAGTGCAGTGGTAATCTGTCCCAAATGGAAGGACAAATAGCCAAGCAATGTTGACCTACCCATTCATCTCTCAAAAACAGAGTTAAGATATTGATTCTCCTGTTTTCAGGATGAAGCAGGGACAGGGAGTTTCTTGTTATCCTCTCAACTCACTCTTTTTATGGAAAAAGTAATTAATCTGATAAATGACACAAAAGATTTTGATGTTCATTAACAAGGTGGTGATTCCAAGAAGTTGAAATAAAAAGACTTCAGAGCCCGTCTCTCTCAATCACTATCTTTGGTCTCTTGAGGATGCTTGTGCACAAAATAGGGAGCACCCATGTAAGAGCTGCATAGGCAGGCTCAGTCCAGCAACTGGTTTCATAAATCCAACTTTTCCAAGCATGATGGAATGTCAGAATCCCGTGAGCCAAAAGTTTTATGATGAGAGAGGAAGAATGATATTTACTCCCCAATCTAATTTTTAAATTAAATTTTAAACAAAGTTAATAAAGTTAACAAACCTGAATACACACACACACATGCATATATACCCACGCACATGCACACAGGCTTCTTGCATTCTTTTTTTTGTTTAATCATTCATGAGAAATGGTTGGATTTTGTATTTTCTATCTACCAATACTTGCACAAACTCTGGCTGCAAAACTTTTGTTGGTCAAATATTAGCATTTGGGAAACCACATCCCTGCTGAGAGATAGAAGATCTTGATACAACCTTAACTACATCATCAGTAGACATGGGACTGTTTTTAACCAGAAGGAGGCAAATGTCTTCCAGATGGTTGTGTAGCTGGTTTTAACAGTAGCCTGCAGTGGCTTTTTGACAGACATAAACCTTACTAGTTATTATTAGGCTTCAGAGCATTAGTATGAAGTTTTAATTTGGCTTATGTTAGGGATGAGAAGGTAGCACTATCCTAGATGCCCTAAATATTGCTCCTTGTCACTTTTTCCCCACTGAATTCAGAGGTAATCTGGGGACTGTGTCTAAAATGGCCTTATATTCATGTGTTTGCCATGGGTTTCTGAAGCTTTCATTCTGAACATGGTCTCAAGTTGGCTCTTGAGGGCTAATTTCATTACACATGATCATAGGCATAAATTTAAATTTGTGGAGGATTGTTTTGTACATCCCACATGAAGGGGTGACCTGCCCCTCCACACCTGTGGGTTTTTCTCATTGGGTGGGATGAGAGACTGAGAAAAGAAAGAGACACAGAGACAAAGTATAGAGAAAGAAACATGGGCCCAGGGTACCGGCACTCAGCATATGGAGGATCCACGCTGGCACCAGTCTCTGAGTTCCCTCAGTATTTATTGATCATTATCTCTACCATCTCAGAGAGGGGGATGTGGCAGGGCAATAGGGTAATAGTGGGGAGAGGGTCAGCAGGAAAACATGTGAACAAATGTCTGTGTGCCATAAACAAGGTTAGAAAAGGTGCTGTGCTTTGAGGTGCACATACATAAACATCTCGGTGCATTAAAGGGCAGTATTGCAGCCAGCATGTCTCACCTCCAGCCTTAAGGCAGTTTTCTCCTTATCTCAGTTGATGGAACATACAATCCGGTTTTACACCGAGACATTCCATTGCCCAGGGACGAGCAGGAGACAGATGCCTTCCTCTTATCTCAACTGCAAAGAGGCCTTCCTCTTTTACTAATCCTCCTCAGCACAGACCCTTTATGGGTGTCTGGCTGGGGGATGGTCAGGTCTTTCCCTTCCCACAAGGCCATATCTCAGACTATCACTTGGGGAGAAACCTTGGACAATACCTGGCTTTCCTAGGCAGAGGTCCCTGCAGCCTTCCGTAGTGTGTAGTGTATTGTGTCCCTGGGTACTTGAGATTAGAGAGTGGTGATGACTTTTAACAAGCAAACTGCCTTCAAGCACTTGTTTAACAAAGCACATCCTGCATAGCCCTAAATCCATTAAACCTTGAGTCAACACAGTGCATGTCTCTGCCAGCACAGGGTTGGGGGTAGGGTTACAGATTAACAGCATCTCAAGGCAGAAGAATTTTTCTTAGTACAGAACAAAATGGAGTCTCTTATGTCTACTTCTTTCTACATAGACACAGTAACAGTCTGATCTCTCTTTCTTTTCCCCACACCACAGAATCTGGATTCACTACCAAGAGACTGTAGCATTTATCAAAAAGAAGATAAAGAGAAATAAGAGTTCTTGTTGTCTAGGGAATATATCATCTTCTTTAGGTAATGCTTATTAATGCTCCTCAAAATAGCTAGAGCATTCAAGCTTTGTACCGAGTTCACAATGAGAGAAGTAGCTTCTACTAGAAATTAAATATGTTACTTCTTTCATTGAGTAACTATTGCTACAAGAATACGTTTGCTGAATAAATTAGCACATTTATTGATATAATTGATTTGCATACTGTGGCAGCACTTCATGGACCAAACCCTAAGTCCCATGAAAAATTGAATAGAATTATTTGACAGTTAAGTATCATTGGAAAAGCCTGGCTCTAGTTCTCAGGAAGCAATCTGGTTGATTATGTGTTTTCGGTGTGTAGTCATAATACAACTGTATATCACTAGTGTACATTAGACACTTTGTGCACTCTACATATATTTTCTCATTTGATCCTTCAATACATGCATAACAGAAGAAATAGACGTGGATTTAATTGCTCCACTAGGGTCAAAGACCAAAAACCTCATTACAATGCCAATGTTAGAAATTCTTCTTCCAATTAAAATAAAGTTACCAAAGACAATTGCTCCTGCCATAATGAGAAAATATCGGATGAACTTTAAAAAATTATTTTTTTTTTGTTTAAAGCCATCAAAAAATTGTGGGTCTAAAGTGTCAATGAACTAAATTTCAGAGAAAAACAAGCCCTTCCTTGGTGATCACAGATTAGCAGCAGAGCCCATCTCTGAGGACATTTGCTGGATCTGGGGCCTTGAGTAGGTAGAAGAACAAGCCTACAATGTGCAGACAGCTGGAACATTGGGAATAAGCAAAATAATCTACAGGGAACTGCAAGAGGGACTGAAAACTAGAAAGATCACGTGTTCTCCTCGCACTTACTTATTTCCACTTAAGAGACAGGGTCTCATTCTGTCACCCAGGCTATGGTGCAGTGGAATAATCATTGCTCACTGCAGCCTCAAACTCCTCCCTCAGGTGATCCTCCTGCTTCAGCCTCTCCAGTACATGGAACTACAGGTGCATGACATCATGCTTGGCTAATTTTTAATTTTTTTGTGTGTGGACACAAAAACCGACTAGGTTTCCCAGGCTGGTCTAGAACTCTTGGCCTCAAGTGTTCTTCCTGCCTTGACCCCCACCCTCTCCAACCAAGCACTGGGATTACAGGTGTAATGACAGGGAGTCATCACATCTGGCCTCCCCTAGCATTTAGATATTAAACTGTTGGAAAAATGAGTAAAAAATAAATGTAAGTAGCATTTTGAGTATTTTCTTCCCATACACCCATGGATTGTTTAGTGTATCTTACTACTTCACATAGGAGACCATTCCTGCATCAAACTATATAAACTAAGTATTTAAATTTGATTTTTTCCCTACAATAAGCTCTATGCTAAAGCTCATTACATTTGATTTTGACAATCTGTTTTTATACCACAGTTGCAAAAAATTAATCACATTCTTTACTTCATGAGACATTATCATTATTGTTTCCTACAAGTTTCTCTGGTTTTACTTGTTTCATTTTTTTATTCCTTATCCCTTGTCACAGACAGGCATGCTAATGTGTTTGATATAGGTTCTTTACTCTTAAAGAATTCTTACAAGATAAGAAGGTTGTTTTCTGAGTGTGTGTATGTGTATATACGTGAGTGTATACATTTTGCTTAAAGAGTATTGTGCTATAAATCTAATTTTATTTCTAATTTTTTCACAGAGCATAACATCCTTCATACATTCCCACATTGCTGTAGGTTATTTTTGGTTGTTTATTCCCCTGTAGCTGCTGCATAGTTTTCAATAAAATGAATCAACCACATTTTCCCTATCCAGTCTTGCAGTAGAATTCACACTGATATCCTGCTACTGAAATATTCACTTCCTTATGGTATCCTTATGAAAACACTTTTTGGTCATGTGTTACAATTTGTCAGGGGCTATGTTAGTCTCTTTATATTGCTATGAAGACATACCCAATGCTGGGTAATTTATTTATTTATTTTTTAATAAAAGAGGTTTATCTTGGTTCGGGGTTCTGCAGACTGCACAGGAAGCAATGCTATCTGCTCTGGGTGAGGCCTCAAGAAGCTTACAATCATGGCAGAAGGTGAAGGGGAGCCAGTGTGTCACATGGTCAGAGAGGGAGTAAGAGAGAGAAGGGGGCAGTCCCAGGCTGTTTCTAACAATCAGATCTCTATGAACTCACTGAGAAGAACTCACTCAAGTGGATTGTGCTAAACCAAGCTTGTCTAACCCACAGCTTGTGGGCTGAATGCAGGTCAGGACAGCTTTGAATGTGGCCCAAATTTGTCAACTTTGTTAAAAGAGAGTTTGTGTATGTGTGTGTGTGTGTGTGTTTGTGTGTGTGTGTGGTTTTTTTATTTTTATTTATTTATGTATTTATTTATTTTAGCTCATCAGCTATTTTTAGTGTATTTTATGTGTGGCTCAAGAAAATTCTTCTTCCAATGCTGTCCAGGGAAGCCAAAAGGTTGGACATTCCTGTGCTAAGCTATTCATAAGGCATCCACCCCATGATCCAATACCTCTCACTGGGCCCCACCTCCAACATTGGGGATCATATTTTAGCATGAGATTTGGAGGGGACACACATCCAAATTATATCAGGGATATGTACCCATCATCGAGACAGGTTGTAGAGTATGCATACTTTCAAATGGGTCCTGTCATGTTATTTTCTGAAATGGTTAAAACCATTTAATTTTCCATCCATTGCCCATAAAGCTTGTTTTCCTCATATCCTCATCACTCAATGTTATCTAGGATTCTTATATTTTCTAAGCAAGTGGTGAAAATACAGATCTCATTTTATTTGTGTACATTTGCATTTGTCAGATTGTTAACAATGTATTGAATTTTTTGGCCCATTTTTCTATTGAGTTTACTATCTTCTTTGTTCATCTGAATATCAATCATATTCACTTTGCCCTAAGCAGTGTCAACATTTTCTATTACTCTGTCATACATCTGATAACTTTGTATGCCAACCTTTACTGAAATGAGCCTTTATGATTTTTATACTTCTAGAGTTTATGTATTTAATTAAATTTATTGGTTTAGTATATATTTTATTAAACTGTAACAACAGTCCCAAATCTATGTTTTGCTGGGTTCATTCAGATTTAGAACTCAGATAACTTTTTGGAGGATAAATTCTTTTTATCATAATGAAGAATGGCTATCATAATGCAATATGATTACTTCTGCCAATGCTTATTGTTTTATAGTCTACTTTGTTTCTGTGGTCAGGAGGACAAGACCTGAATGGCCTTGACCAACTCAGCTTTCTGTACCTCCTAGTTCTCAGAATAACTTTAGAATGTTCCAAGAAGACAATATCCTGAGATGAGTAGAAACCGTCTGGGACAGTCTGGGCTCTGTCCTTGTTGTTCCTAGAACAGGATATTACTGCAGCCCTTAAACTCAGAGAGCCAAGGTGCACGTGGGGTGTGAAACCTAGGGCGGAGCACTCAGGGGTTCCTCAGCGCAGTACACAGTGGGGCATGTGCAGAGGAGACTCCACCAACCCTGGGCAACTTTTCTGACCTCAAGGGTCAGGCTTGCCATAGAACTTAACGGTTTTGCTGATTCTTCCTGCTCCTCTGTGAGTAATAAATTTGGTTTGTCTGACTTACTGTGCGAGCATTGTTCTGTTCCTGGCAGCTTGGTTTATATAAAAAACCTCCTACTAGACCTATGAATCTATGCAATGTGGAAGTGTCATAGAGGTAAATAAGAAGCAACTTAACTGAGTTGAAAACTAACATACATAACATGGGGCCACTGCACCAAGGGGCAAAATGATCCTGCCAAAAAGTCCCATGTGACCATTCCAGACATACTGTGGAAGAAGGATGCTGAAACTCACAGAGATCTGAAGATCTTATCCAAGCCAACAGGAGGCTAATAAAGCAAGAGAATTCCACTGTACTCTGATGCGAGAGTACAAGCTTCACCTCAGAGAATAGCAATGCAATGGCCCCAGCGATCAGACCAGAGAGACCCTCTGCCACAGAGAAAGCAGAGGTCTAGAGAACAGCATGAAGACAATAAGAGACTTCAGATTCACTTTCCCTTTGCCTTGAGGCCACAGAAAGCCCAAAGCATCTGAACATCTTCCTGGAGGCATTTAACTAAAAGAGAGCTATTGAAACTTGAAGAAAAATGTGAATCAAGAAGCTAAATTTAAAGATATGTTACTTTCTCCAACCATCCCCCACCAATTAACCATAGGATGAGTCTAGTGAGATAAAGCATATCATTTATACAAAATACAAAAGTTATATGTCCTTTATGTGGGCAGAAATATGTTCAAGCTTTACTCAATAAAGGTATCTTGTTTTACTACTAGAAATGGTAATTTTCACTTGGTCATTACTTTATTTTATAATTATCTCTATTTAAATTAGTATCAGCTCACTCCTGGGTATCCACCTAGAGGAAAAGAAGTCATATGAAAAAGACACATGTATGCACATTCATAGCAGCACAACTCACAGTTGCAAAAATGTGTAACAAGGTTAAATGTCTATCAGCCAATGAGTGGACAAAGAAAATGTGTTATAGATACACCATGGAATACTACTCAGCCCTAAAAATGAATCAAATAATGACACTTGCAGCAACCTGGATGGAGTTAGAGATGATTATTGTAAGTGAAGTAACTCAGGAATAAAAAACAAATATTGTATGTTCTCACTTATAAGTGGGAGCTTAGCTATGAGAGAGTGAAGGCATAAGAATGATTTAATAGACTTTGGGGACTCAGAGGGAAGGTTAGGGGGGTGAGGGATAAAAGACTACACATTGGGTACAATGTACACTACTTGAGTAATGCGTACACCAAAATCTCAGAAATCACCACTAAATAACTTTTCCATGTAACCAAAAACCACCTGTTTCCCAAAAACTATTGCAATAAAGTAATATATATGAAAACAATCAACATGATAGTCTTGAAGTGCAACATTCACTGGGTTTCATATGGGAGAAAAACAGCTAAAATCAAACACATGGACAGGCAGTCAGAACAATGTCCATCATATACATAGTAAAATTAATACAAGGACAAACATTCATGAGTGGAGTCCATTTGAATCAGCCTGTAGTGAAGACATGTGCCTTAGGGCACACATAACTCATGTTAGGGAGAAAATGTATAATTTTACTCAATGTGAAAACATCTTCAGAAATAACTCAGTCCATGCTGTCCAGATGCAGTTCTGTTCTGTAGAGATGAAGAATAAGAATCATCAAAGTGGAAAAACCTCTGTCCTGCTCCAAATTCTGGTCCACACAGGAGTAGTACTACTGGAGAGAAAAGCCATACATGTCCCAAATGAAGGAAAGCCTTTACGTTATCAGTCATTTCTTATGAGACATATGAAACTTCACACTGGAGAGAAACCTTATGAATGTAACAAAAGTGAGAAAGGCTTTAGATATTCCCTACACCTTAATAAATATTTAAGAAAGAACATTCTGGAGAAGCCCTATGGATGTAAGGAATGTGGGAAAGCCTTCAGCAAGGCTCAAAACATGCACATATAAGGAGTCACACTGGAAGAAACCCTATAAATGTGATAAATGTGAAAAAGACTTTGCAAAGTCACCAGAATTAAAAGCCATCTTAAGATTCACAATAGTGAGAAGCCCTGTGAGTGGCAGGGAAATCATCATTAATTTTTCACCGTACTGAACATGTGAGGAGGACATACTGGAAGGGAGCTCAATGAGTTAACATGCATGAGAACATCTTTCCTGAACTCTCCTATCTTACAGAAGTGTGAAAAGAAACCCTCTGAAGGTAAAGTCTATGGAAAGCCTTTCATCTTCATTCATCGTGAGTAGATATTTGTTCTCACACTGGAGAGAAGCTATGAAAGTAAGGAATATGAAAAAAGCCTCAGTGTTGTCTCAGACTCATAGTTCATACAAGAACTCACACAGCAGAGACTGCTTATGGAAGTAAAAAATGCAGAAAATACCTCTTTAAACACTATCCCTCCTTTATACATGATTCCACACCCTGGAGGGAGACTACAATTGAATAAATATAAGAAAGCTTTCAGTTCCAGCTCTTCACTTATTGGGCATGAATGAGCACAGGGTAGGACTGAAGCACAGTAAACGTTAACAATTATTGACTTTATCATTGTCTTATCCCTCAATTATAACTCAAATTCATAATTTTGTAGTTTTTCCTTTCTTAAAAAATGGTACAAGATGACAGATATCTGTCTTAGCAACCTTTCCGCTCTGCCACCTTAATGTTGCTATGTAGTAGCTTTGTTACAATTCATTTACATACACATGGTTTCATTTTCAGTGGGAAGCCCTTCTGAGCTCCATTCAATTTAGATTTAGAATTCGTATGCTCCATGATACCTTTTTTGTCAGTTTGTTTTTTGTTGGTCACAATTTGACTGCATTATGGTCACATTATGTGGTTTTAATGGTACTGATTTGGGGTACCTGTTATGACTTTCATTTTGGTCTAATGTGGCCAATGCTGTCCATTTCCCTGCTATATCCATTATTCTCATCTTCTTCACTAAGGGAACATAGATTCACTTTTTCCAAGGAGCACTGTTTAAATGTCTTTATTTATTTATTTATTTATGCATATTTTATTATTTTATAATTTTTTTTTTTGAAAAATGGTCTCACTCTGTCTCCCAGGCTGGAGTACAGTGGCATGATCAGAGCTCACTGCAGTCTTGAACTCCTGGGCTCATGTGATCTCCCAGCTCAGACTCCTGAGTAGGTAGGACTGCAGGCATAACAGGTGTGCACCGCCACACCCAGCTTTTGTTTTGTTTTGTTTTTGTAGAGACTGGGTCTCGTTATGTTGCCTGGACTGGTTTCAAATTCCTGTGCTCAAGTGATTCTCCCACCTTGGCCTCCCAAATTGCTGGAATTACAGGCATGAGCCACCATGCCTGGCCCTGGTTAACGTCTTTAAATGAGTTTCCCAGTTTTTCTCGTAACTGTAGTGAGCGAATCTTATAGTCCTGGCCAATGTGAAATGCAGAATTCACTGCTTTGGATTTCTGAAAATCTGTTTGGAAAGGGGAGAGTTATTGTTCCTCTTTTTTGTTGACCAATTTCCCTTTGCTTTCTCTGCTTGCTGCTCTCTGGAAATAGGATGAAATGCCCTGAGTTGGGTTTAGCAACTTGAAGACCATTGGAAAGATTGTCCCTACAACAAAACCTTCAATCTACAAGATTTCTCCCTCCCCAATGGCATGTTGTGTATCCCTGGCTGCCGTGGACTATTTCTGGACTTGTTTCATGAAACTAACCCCTAGTAGAACTAAGAAACATTTTAGGAGAGAAGTTTACAACAGATTAAATGATAAACCTAAAAAATGAATAAAACATATTATAAAAATAAAGAGGATAGACAAAACGGGCTTGCAGATGCTGACTGGCCACACTCATCCTTGGCGCTTGCCCCCATGGATGCCTCACTGACTGTGACACTTGGAGAGCTGGCAGCCATCACTCAAAAATCAGAACACAGTGGCCTCTACTGCAGCATCAGGGAACCAAAACTAAGCTTGTCAGCTCTCAAGAAACATACTTATGTGTGTGTGTGTGTATATATATATATATATATATGACATAAATTTATTCAGGGACTTTGAGGTATCTCATGCTAAACAGATAAAATGAATTAAAACTAGTGCAAAGTTATGGCAACAGTACTCCCCATTATTTATGCAGGGCGTTGAAAACTGGCACACGTCACAGATCCTTAAGTCATTCTCTGAATCAGGAGGAGAAAAGAGAACAGAGAGAGCTCACTGTATGTGCCAGTCACTGGACTGAGTACTGCGCCTACGGGATCCCACTTGATGCTTGCAATAACCCTGCAAGATAAAGGTAAAAACTCACACACACACACACACACACACAAACTCACACACACACTCTCACGCATACATACACACACATAAACTCACACATACACACGCATCCTCAAGCACACACTAGAAACTACAGAACAAAAAAGCATTGACAACTAATAGAAGTATACTGCTGGCCAAACAAAGTGGCTCATGCCTATAATCTCGGCACTTTAGGCCAGGAATTCAAGACAAGCCTGGGCAACATAGCAAGACACCATCTACACAAAACATTTTCTTAAATAAACATCATTTTTAAAAAGAGGTATAATGCCTACAGGCTCAGGGAAGCAATACCCCTATGGCTGTATGGTAAGCAGCAGGCAAGGCTATTTTTCAGACCAAAGTGGTAGTGACTCCAGGGTTCCTTTGCACACTTAGCCAGGAGATTGGCTAGCTCAGCACTGCCTGGGTTCACTTTACCCTTCTACAGTTCTAAAGCTCTGGCAGGTGGGACCTAAGCATCACAGAAAGTGCTATTATGCAGGACTCTCTTGACTGCAAGTGACTGAAACCTAACTGGATCCAGCAGAACATTGAATTATTTGGCTTTACTTACTAAAAATGTACATGAGTAGATGGGCTTCTGTCTCAGTGGGATCAGGGGTCAACTAATATCAACCAAGGCTCATTCTGTCCCTTCATTTCCTGTGTCAGCTCTGCTTTTCAGGCAAGCTGTTTTGAGAGAGCAGCAAAAATGGCCCCATAAAGTTCACATCACTTACTTCCTTACAAATAGATATGCCAATAAAAAGTAAGCACCTCATTCCCAGCAGTTTCATCAGAAGTTCAGGGATGACTTCCATGAGCCCAGCTTGGATCACATGACCACTCCTGAATCAATTACCCTGCTGATCTGATTGCCCAGGGTGGGTCAGCCTTCCCAAATCACATGGACTAGTATTGAAAGACAGGTCCTCCCATGAAAAGAAAAAAAAAAAAAAAAAAAGGAAGGGTAGTGGCAGAGGAATATGAGTGGGGGGGGCCTCATCTCTATATAAAAAGTATGAGCGTATTTGTGCTCTTTTGTACATTCATTTGTATAGTCACTGGGAAAAAAATGAGAAAAACCCAAACACGGCTTTCTATATGCCTCTGTGCTTTGTTTTCAACACTGAGCTGTGAGAAATCTAGTTACTAAAATGAAACTTTGAAAAAATACAACAATTTGGGACAATGGGGACACTTAGCTGATGCAGCACAGGTGAACAGTTCTTCTTTTGTGCCCAAGAGGACACAATTCCCAGGAGGCTGCATGTGGTCTCCTAGGACAAGCCTGTGGGCACCCACTGGCTGCAGTTCCACCTTTCCTTCCCTGGACTCTCAGGAAGACATGAGTTCTGGATTCAGCTGAACTGAGCTCAAGTTCAAGTTCTGTGACTCACTGGCTCTGTAATTCTGGGTAAGTCTCTTGCTCTCCTTGAGTCTCATATCCTCCTTGGTAAAATGGAGAGGTAGAGCTATTGTTAGATTTTGAAGGCAAGGCAAGGGTTAAAGAAAGACAGAGAAAGACAGTTGACGGCTTCAACAGCAACACCTTTATTACTAGCAAAACCCTGCAGAGGAGGAAACCAGCTTACTGCCAGCACCAACTGCCTCTCACAGGCTGGGGTGATCATGGGACTGGGAAGGAGGGGTGTGGGCGGTAGAGCTTGCTGCCCGGCAGGATATGGCAAGGATGTTCCTGCAGTCAGGCTGTTGGGCCTTTGCCCGGGAGGGTGCGATAAGGATGTTTCTACAGTCAGGTGATCAGGAAGGATGCTTCTCACGGCCCGAGTTCCCAAGGAATGTTTCATTCTGACCAGGGTGTGCAAAACGGCTGCAGGTTTACAAAATGGTACAGGTTAGACTAACAGCAACATCTCCCAGGTAGACAGTTCTATAAAGTAAACTTCCCTTGAGCACCTACACTGTACCAGACATGGTGCTAGGACCCAGGCCACAGGAGGAACAGGACAGATGAGGCCCCTGCCATCCTGGTGCTCATGCCTGATGAAGGAAGCTAACAGGTCGTAAGACCAGGTCACGTGGTGGTGGTAATGAAAGACATTACCAGCCACTTCGAGGTCCCTGCCAGAACCTGACTGCCACATTCCCCAAAGGGACCAGACTCCTCGGCACACTAGCTGAGGTTTCTATAGGCACAGAGAAAACACTGTCCCAACTGTTGCAATGGAGCTGGGAAAAATAATGTTTTTTCTCAATGCTTAGACTTACCAATTGCTTCATTTTATCACATGAAGGCTGTGTGGCACTTTGAAGTAGAATTAGTAATTTACATAATTACAAATCATGTTTTTTTCTTTTTTTTTAGATGGAGTCTTGCTCTCTCGCCCAGGCTGGAGTGCAGTCGCGCCATCTCGGCTCACTGCAAGTTCCACCTCCCGGGTTCATGCCAGTCTCCTGCCTCAGCCTCCCAAGTAGCTGGGACTATAGGCGCCAATCATCATGCCCAGCTAATTTTTTGTGTTTTTATTAGAGACGGGGTTTCACCAAGTTAGCCAGGATGGTCTGGATCTCCTGACCTCGTGATCTGCCCGCCTCGGCCTCCCAAAGTGCTGGGATTACAGGCATAAGCCACTGCGCCTGGCTACAAATTATGTTCTTAAAAGAAGCTGCTCAGTGCCATGCCTAACACAAGATGGAACTCCACGATGAGATATGTGTGAAGACAGGGTGCCATGGTTACAAACAAGGACTCCAGGTGCAGACTGTTTGGTTCAAACCTGGACCAGCGGTATGAATTTTTGCAACTCTCTGTATTGCTCTTTGCCTCAGTTTTTTCATATAACAACTAGAAGTAAAAACAAGGTTATTGTGAAAATTAAATGAATTAAAGTAAGTGGAGTGCCTACAACACCCCCAGGCACACGGTCAGCACTGAGCATGTTTTTCATTACTACTCTTAATGAGGTAAGAATGAGAAAACAGGCGCCAGCCATGAGCCTGGGGTTTATCTGGCAAAGGCATCAGAGACCCCACTTTTAACATCCTCCATTCATTCATTTGACCCTGATAAGGAAGGAGTCTCATGGGAGAGGAGCAAGCCTCCACCTGGGGGCCAGACATCTCATGATCAAAGTTGAACTCTACCACTGTTCAGCTGGGTGACTTTGGGCAAGTGACTTTCCCTCTCTGATCCTCATGTTCCTTTTTGATAAAAACAGCAAAATGTCAGGCCTATGGGGATTCAAGGAGCCAAAAGAAAAATGTGTGTCTTAGTCTGAATTTCCTGGAAGTAGATCCTGAGGCAAAGATTCAAATACAAAAATTTTGTTTGGAGATAACGCTAGGATATTAATTCGACTGCCAGTTCTTCCTTAGGGTGCTAATCCCAGGAAACATCAGTGGAGGAGTGGGGAACTGAGACAGGAAAGGAATGCAGCAGTTAAAGGGACCTTCATCAAGAAAGTTTCCACTGTGGCAGCCAGGACTCAGCCCTGCCAGGTACCTCTGAGAGACAGCACAGAACATGTGCTTCAGAGTCATCATACCCAGAGCAAGGGACCAGGGGTATTTATCCACCAATACCCACCAGTCACTCCTCAGGGATCCTCCCAAGGGCATGATTCCTCCAGAATGTCCTGCCTGCGCTGCAAGGGTCAGACCTGGGGTTGAGGGCAGGACCCCTGACAGCGCTTCCAGCAATGGGCAGAACCACAGCCTGATGTGTACAGTTTCAGTCACCCAGTAACTCCAACACACACACACACACACATTCACACACCACACTCCAACACCAACAAAGTATATACGTACATACACATACATGCATACATGACTGTTACCCACTTAGATCCTAGTGACTCCATGGGATAGACGATAAGGTGGGAATCAGAGGAAAGAGTAAAATTAAGGCGAGTGAAAGTCTTAAGAACAAAATGCAAATTTAGGCTGAAAATGAAGGGGGAGGAGGTGTGGTCTCGACACCAAATGCCTGCTGGGTGGCACATGCTCTACACACACTGTCACTAATTCTCCAAGCAGCCTCGTGGAGTAAAAGAAATTCCTCTCAATGTACAGATGACAGAAACATAGTTCAGAAAAGAAAACTGATTTTACTAATGTCTCAGCAAGTTAGTGGGTGACATGGAGTCCCAGATCTTTCTGTCCACAAAGCCTACAAATTCTCCCTTGTTAGGCAGGCTGGGTACCAGGCCCTGCTTCTGGGCTCTGCTTCTTTTCCTTCTAGGCTAAAACAGCAGAACTGACAGAGACATCATCCCCCTTCTCCACCTGGAGCAGAGCCAATGAGAGGGGCTGGGGAACAGCCATGAGGCCCAGCACCCACCATTCAATGTCTTCAGAATTGCCGTCCCTCAGAACTCTTGCACCACGAGGTGGCAGCACTCCCAGTGTCTGGGTGTCTTCTGAGGGGTACCAGGATCCAGTAGAGGCCACTGGCTGTGCTGTCATATCCTAAGTGGCAGCAAGGCAGGCTTGGGTCTCTTGGCTGCTTCAGCACCAGAGGTTGGACAGTGCCCATGCATTGAGTCCCTCAGGAGAATGGGAGGGAAAGGAAGGGCAGAATGGAGTGATGTAGGGTCCATCCACCATGTCCCTGGATGGAGAGACCCCTGCTCCCACAGTAGTCCACACCAGGACCACGATTGGCACTCATGAAGATGCCAGCCTCCATGTATATGTCCTTGTCTGACAACTCCTCCTTATTTTCATCCTGGAGACAAGAACCCTGAACACAGTAGCTCTGAGGGCACCTGAGTGTAACCTGAGACAGTCCCTGAAGACCTTTCATCCAAGCAGGATCCCTCCCTTGCCATCTCCAGACCTGCCCCACAAACTCCCTCCCTGGTCTCCTGGCTCTTGTTCACTCCTTCCAGGCAGCCTTCCACAGTCATCTCTAAAATATATATGACTGTCCCTTCCTTTATCCAGCACCTTCCATGGCTCCCCAGAGCCCTCCAGGTCAAGTTCAAGTTCTTTGATCAGACACTAGATCTCAAGCTGCATTCTACCTCCTGAATTAAGATCCCGGAGAAGCCCACCTTGCTCAGCACAAACGCATCACTGAAGTCGAAAATCTTGAACGTGGCCTTGGCATTGAGGAAGTCATCAACACCCTGGCTAGTGAGGGTGCAGTGCCGCTCCAGGATGATGGTGTCTAAAGTTGTGCACCAGGTCGCAGGCCCTGCAGAAGCATCTCCCCTCAGGAGTGAGGTAGTACAGGAAGTCTGTGCACAGGCAGATCTGCTGGTGCTGTTACACTATGAGGGCACTGAGCTCCAAGATGGTGGCAATATATTCACTGGGATTCCTGCACGGTGAGGTTGGAGAGAGGAAGCATCTCCATAACACATATGAAACCCTGGAAGCACTTCCCAGCCAGAAATTCAGGACCACGTTATATGCAGATATGGGTGCCCTCTGAGCACACTTGTCTCTCTGTCTCCCACTCTGAGCTGCCTCCTGGCCCCACATGCCCCAGCCTGGCCCAGGGCTTAGCCCAGTGGGTGTTCAGTCCATGGTGTTGACTGCTCCCTGGGCCAGGAGAGCCCTTGGTGGCTCTGTGACTCCTCCTGTGGAACCCCTACCTCTGCCTTGGGACCTCCCAATTCCCATGGAAGCCCCCACAGCTCTGGATTGCCCCACCTGCCCTGTGATCCTCCAGCCCCATAGGCCTTACTCGATGCCTTAGCCCTCCCAGAACATGACACGTTTCTCTGAATGTGGCTGATGTCCAGGGCCATCTGTAGATGTTTGCTGGGGACCTCTTGCTGTTTTCCTTTATGGTCTGTAGGCCAGGGCCAAGAGGAGAAACCAGCCTAATCTCAGAATGGACAAAAGGCTCACTGCCCTAACAGCAACCACCAAACAGTCAGCAGTGCTTCTGGATGGAAAAGAGGTTTCATTCTGCAGAAAGCTCCTTGTTTGGCTTCTTTCTGAAGCCAGGAAGGGGTACCAAACCCAGCTTACCTGCGGTGCCTACGTTAGCATCTGTGCCTAGGATGCATGATGGGCTCCCACTGCAGGGTTGACATTCCCTCCAGCTGGAGACCTGGGCTCCTGACACCACCTGGCGTGTTTGTCCTGCTCTGGATGACGGTGGAAAGGCTGTATCTGGTATTTTCCTAGGTCCTTGGTTTTCACCTTCTAGACATCCAGCAGGAGTGACCATACCCAGCCCCACACCTGAAATGGGACTCCCTTGTAGAGCACCTGAGACCTCTACAGACAGAAGAGTGCTCTGGTGAGACAGGCCACAGAGGTCCCCGGGGGGGGGGGGGATCAGGGGCTGGAGGATTCTGGAGGTTTCCAGCCTTGGGCTCTGTGGTTCCTCAAAGAGTTTAGGTTTACCTAGGACTAGGCCTCCCCTCCCATGATTCAAAGAGTGGGTGAGTGCTATGCATCACGAACTCTGATCTGGACCTATTTTTTCATTTAGGTCACCAAGAGACAACCCCTAACCCCCAAGCTAGGGATGGTCCAAGCTCTGGCATGAGATTCTCTTCCAGCAATGTGATGCTTGCAGGGACAGGGAGAAAAGCCGGTGACCAGGCCTGCTGTCCCCCAGGTAAGGACAGTGTGCTACCCACCCTCTGAGAGGCAGGTGGTGCCAGGTCACTGCACTGGGTCCCTGTACCCCTGGCTCTGCAGACACCAGTCATGGAGGTCCTCCCCTCTCCACATTACCTTCTTGCTACTCCCAGATTTCTTCTGGTCATTAAGCACTTTGAGCCATTTTTCTGTGCAGCCGATCTGATATTTTTGCTATCAGATGAAACATGACAAAGTAAGCCGAGCCACCAGGATTCCTGGAGGGAACCTTGGATGCTGCGTCTTGGGATCCAGAGCCCTGATGGGACTGAACCAGAAGGAGCCAGGGAAGGACAAACACTGGGGCTCAGGCCCTATGACCCAACGGCCATTGGTGGCCTGTCCTCATGGCCCCAAGACACCCTGTCCTCAGGCCACAGACACCATGGGCTTTGGTCAGGTCCCAGCCTCCCAGTAGTGCCCTGGCACTGGTGGGTGCTGACCCCCAAACCACAATAGCAGTTCTGGGTTATGGGTTTGGTAAAACCACCTCAGGGAGAATTCTGGGGTTGGGTTTGGCAGGAACCACGGGGCCTCCCAGGAATGATGTGTCACTCCTACTTGCCACAAAATGTGCACAGAGGCTATCCCACTGACCAGCCCATCCTGCTGGACAGGATGGAGGAAATCAGGGAAAAGGCAGGGTGGACATCTGGGGTGCAGGGAGAGGCAGGTGCATGCTGGGAGGTCAGGCCCTGCGAGGGCTGTGGGGGCATCAGGTGGGGTGGGCTCCAGGTGCACCCTCAATGCACTGGGTGGGTCTCAGGCCAGGCTCCCTGGACCCTGGTTGGCTGATGTGGTCACTCCCTGGGGGACTGCTGTCAAGCCCTGGCCACCCACCCTGGGCAGCACCGTCCCATCCCAAGACCGGATTTTCTGAGTCCTGAGACAGGACAGTGCTGTCCAGGCCTGACAGACTGGGAGGACCTGCCAAGTCCTCCATCCCTAGACCAGCCTCCCACACAGCAGGGACAGTCTCTTCCATTTACCTTCAGGGCACTGACTGATCCATGTCACTCTAAGGCAACCAAGGCAGAGCTGAGGACCTGTGCCAGGCTGGGAGCCAGTCCCCTCCCTAAATGGGCCTGAGGAAAGCACCATCCCTGTCCCAATGCGCCCCAAGTTTTAGCCCAGGAGACACATAGGGAAGGGAGGACGGAGCCTCTCTGCTGGCTGACACTTGAAAAGCGGGACCTGGGAGTAGAGGGAGCGCAGGGCTGGCAGGGATGCTCCAGGCCCATGGAGAGCTTAGGCTGCACCAAGGGGCTGCCCCTCCTGGGCTGGAGGCTGTGCCCTCTGCAGGATCTGAGAAAGTCCAGTCCTGAGATGGGACAGTGCTGCCAAGGGTGGGTGGCTAGGCCTGACAGCAGTCCCCCAGGGAGTGACCACATCACCCGACCAGGGTCCAGAGAGCCTGGACCGAGACCTGCCCAGTGCACACTGAGAGTGCACCTGGAGCCCACCCCACCTGACGCCCCCACAGCCCTCACAGGGTCCGACCTCCCAGCATGCACCTGCCTCTCCCTGCACCCCTACTGCCCACCCTGCCTGTTCCCTGGCTTCCTCCATCCTGTGCAGCCCATAGACTGTTACCATCTCTCTAGCCACTCTGGCCCTTCCTTTACCTTTGTTCTTTCAGAATCTCTGAGCAAGATCTCCCAGGTCCATCCAAACACCTGCTTTGTCCACTTTTGACTGGGCCATTGGACACCACTGGGCCATCCCAGCTGTCCATAGGGCCCCTGATAACATGCATTTCCCCTGACACCTCCCAGCAGTGCTCAGCAGCCCCACTGACCAGGTCCCTGCTGACCAGATCCCGCACATCAGGTCCTCCCTGACCACACTCTCACTGATTAGGCCCCCATCACCAGGCCCCACTAACTAGATTCCCGCTGCCAGGCCCACAGTGTCCAGGACCCCACTGACAAGGACCTCACTGACAAGGCCTCACTGACCAGGGCCTCACTGACAAGGCCTCCCTGACCACATTCCACCAATCATGACCCCATTGCCTGGCCCCACAGATGAAGCCCCACTGACCAGGTCTCCAGGGAACAGGCTGCCAGTGACCAGGTCCCTACTAACCAGGCCTGCGGTGACCAGATGCCCCGACCAGGAACCTAGTGACTAGGCACCACTGAACAGGCATGTACCGCTCAGACCCCCGTTGACCAGGTCACCCCATAGACCAGTGCTACAAAAGCCACCACTGATCAAGTCCTCTCTGACCAGGCCCCCACTGATTAGGTTCCACTGACCTGACCAGGCTGCCATGACCAGGGTCCCACTGACAAGGGTCTCACTGATGAGGACATGCCCTGCTGACTAGGTGCCATGTGACCAGGCCTCCACTGAATAGCACCCCTTGACCGGGTCACCAGTGACCCAGCCCATTCTGACAAGGCTACCACTAAGCCACAGCTGACCAGGTCTCCACTCACCAAGCCCTGCAGCCCAGGTTTGCACTGACCAGACACCAAACATTTGTCTGCCACTAGGTCCCCACTCACCAAGACCTGCACTACTCGATCCCTCTAATGAGACCCTCTCTAAGCAGACCCTGGCTGACCATTCCCCCAGTAAATAGGCCTCACTGACCAAGTCCCAACTGACTAGTTCACTGACCAGGCCCACACTGACCAGGCCCTTCCTAATCATACCAGAAGGCCAAGTGGCAATGAGATGTTTCATATGGCAGGGGTAGGAGCAAGACAGAGAGAGGAAAGAGGTACCACACCCTGTTAGACAACCAGATCACATGAGGTCTCACTATCAGGAGATCAGCATCAAGAAGATCCTGCACCCACACCACCGCCCACTGTTTCCAGGCAGAAGCCTCCTGCAGAGGCCAAGCCTCTTGAGAAACTTCCACTATGGCAGTGCAGAAGGAAAATATGGGCTTGGAGCCCCCAAAAAGGAGGCCACCATCCTCCAGATCCCGGATTCATAGGCCCACCAACAGCTCACACCCTCAGTATGGAAAAGCTACAGGCACTCAACACCAGCCCAGCCCATGAGAGCAGCCATGGGGCTAAAGCCTGCAAAGCCACAGGTGCACTGCCCTAGTAGAGGTTTTCCATGAGCCTCTGCCTCTGCAGAAGGCTACTCCCCCTTCCTACTACCCCCCATCCTCCTACCACCCTACTGACAACCTACTCCTCCCCACCCTACCCCTCCTTTTCCTACCACCCCGAACCCCCTCCCATTCAAGATTAAATCGCCTACCACCAGGCCCCAAAATTAAGGATTACAATTCCATATGAGTTTTATATGGACACACAGTCAATCCATATTATTTGACCCAGATACCCCAGAACCTCATGTCCTTCTCACACAGCAAAACACAGTCATGCATGTTCAAAAGTTTCCAAAATTCTTAACTCATTCCAAATATAAAAAATTCAAAGTCTCATCTGAGACAAGGCTACAGTCCCTTCGGCCTATCAGTCCCTGAGTTCAAAAGGCATTTCTTTTCTTTCAAGATACAATGATAGTACAAGCATTAAGTAAGGTTTCTCAATCCAAAGGGAAGAAATTCCCCAGAAAAATGACAAAAATGTCAGTCCAAACCCCAGCAGGACAATATTCACTCAATCTTTAAGCTCCATAATCATCAAGAGAACTCACTATCACGCAGACAGTATTAAGGAGATAGTGTTTCACCAGTTGTGAAGAATCCGTCCCCCCTCATTTTTCACCCCCACCCACAAAATAATCTCTCCTATTCTCCCCACTCCCCCACCTCCAACCCCCACTCTTCTCCATGATTAAATCATCTCCCACCAGGCCCCACCTTTAACATTCCCCATTACAATTTCACGAGAGTATTGGTAGTGACACAGGGCCAAATCATATTATTCTCACCCAGGTCCCCCCACATCTCATATCGTTGTCACACTGCAAAATACAATGATGCCTTCTCTACAGTCCCCCAAAGTCTTAACTCATTCCAGCATTTACTGAAATGTCCAAAGCCCAGTCTCATCTGAGACAACGCTGCCATCCCTTCTACTCGAGCCTCTGAAATACAAAGCAAGTTAACTACTTCCAAGGTACAATGATTGTAGAGACATTGGGTAAGCATTCCCAGCCAAAAGGAAGAAATTTGTCAGAGGGAAGCACAAAACACAGATGGGACTTGCAGACCCCATGCAAGTCAAAAACCCAGCAGGAAAGTCATTCCATCCTACAGCTCCAAATCATCTTTCCTGAAAGGATCTACATCCCACATCTAGAGCACAAGAGTGGATGGCGGGGCTCCCAAGGCCTTGGGCAGCTCAGCTTCTGTGGCTGTGCAGGGTCTTTCCCCACAGCTGCCCTCGTGGGCTGGGCTGGTGGTCAGTGCCTGTGGCTTTCCCACACTGAGGGTGCAAGCAGTTGGTGGGTCTATGAATCTGGGGTCTGGAAAATGGTTCCTCCCTGTATGGGGGCATCAACCCTGTATGTTCCTTCTGCACTGCCCTAGTAAAGGTTTCCCATGAGGCTCTGCCTCTTGGAAAAGCTTCTGCCCAGCTGGACACTGAGGTTTTTCCTTACATACTCTTGAGTCTAGACAAAGGCTCCCAAGCCTGTGCACCTGCTGGCTTAACACTATGTGGAAGCCACCAAGGCTTGCAGCTTGCACCCTCTGAAGCAGTGACCCAAGCTGTACCTGTGCATCTTTCAGCCATGGCTGGAGCTGGAGCTGGAGCTGCAGGGATGCAGGCGGCACTGTCCTGAGGATGGACACAGCAGCGCGACCATGGGACTGACCCAGGAAACCATTCTTTGGTCCTAGAACTCAGGGCCTTTGACAGCAAGCTCTGCTGCAAAGGTCTCTGAAATGCCTTCAAGGCCTTTTTAACATTGTCTTAGCTATTAGCACTGGGCTCCATTTTATGCACATTTCTGAAGCCTTCTTGAATTTTCCCACTAAAAATCAGCTTTTCTTTTTGACCTCTTGGGCAGGCTGTAAATCAAACTTCAAAGCTCTGCTTCTCATTTAAATATAAGTTTCAACTTGAGGTCATTTATTTGGTCACACAGAACACCACAGGCTGTTCAATACAGACAAGATACCTCTTGAGCTTTGCTGCCTAGAAGTTCATTTCACCAGATATACCCTAAATCATCACCCTCAAGTTCAAAGTTTCACAGGTCACCAGGGCAGGGGCACCATCCAGCCAAGTTCTTTGCTAAGGCAAAAGAAAAGTTACCTTGGCTTCTGCTCCCAGTAAGTTGTTCATTTTCATCTGAGACCTTCTAAGCCTGGCCTTCACTATCCATCCTTCAGTCACCCTTTTAATTATAACTATTTAACACGTCTCTACAATAGTCAAAACTTTCATTCATCTTTCTGTCTTCTTCCAAGCCCTCCAAACTGTGCAGCCTGCGGTCGTTACCCAGCTTCTGAACCTGCTTCTGAACTTGCTTCTACACTTTCAGCTATCGTTGTGACAGCCTGGCAGTGTGGTAAAAGAAAAAAAGTCCATTTTCAGGGGGAAAATTCAAGAAGGCTTCAGATATTTGCATATAAAAGAAGCCAAATGTTAATAGTAAAAAATCAGGAAAAAAACCTTGAGGGCATTTCATAGCTCCACTCTACAGTACAAATTTTCTGTAGTATTATTTTAAAAAGAGGTTTAATTGGCTCACAGTTCTGCAGGCTGTAAAGGGAACATAGTGGCTTCTGCTTCTGGGAGGACTCAGGAAGTCTCCTACCATACCAGAAGGCCAAGCGACAATGAGATGTTCCATATGGCAGGTGTAGGAGGAAGACAGAGAGAGGAAAGAGGTGCCACACTTGTTATACAACCAGATCTCATGAGAACTCAGTATCAGGAGATCAGCATCAAGAAGATTAACCATTGGTGAAGGATCCACCCACACCACCCCCCACTGTTTCCACGTAGAAGCCTCCTGCAGAGGCAGAGCCTCTTGGAGAACCTCTACCAGGGCAGTGCAGAAGGAAAATGTAGGCTTGGAGCCCACATACAGGAGGCCACCATCCTCCAGACTGCAGATTCATAGACCCACCAACAGCTTGCACTCTCAGAACAGAAAAGCTACAGGCACTCCACACGAGCCCAGCCCATGACAGCAGCCATGGGGGCTACACCCTGCAAAGCCACAGGTGCCCTGCCCTAGTAGAGACTTTCCATGAGCCTCTGCTTCTGAAGCAGGTTACTCCCCCCTCCTAGTACCCACCACCCTACTAACAACCTACTCCTCACCCTACCCACCCCTTTCCTTCCATCCCCGGTCCCCCTCCCATCCATGATTAAATCACCTCCAGCCAGGTCCCACCTCCAACATTAAGGATTACAATTCACATGAGTTTTGGTAAAGAAACACAGCCAAATCATATTATTCTGACCTGATACCCTGCAGTCTCTTGTCCTTCTCACAGAGCAAAATATATTCATGTCTTTTCAAAATTTTCCAAAAGTCTTAACTCATTCCAACAATAACTCAAATGTAAAAAATTCAACATCTCATCTGAGACAAGTCTACAGTACCTTTTGCCTATGAGTCCCTGAATTTAAAAGAATGTTCTTTCTTTCAAGGTACAATAATGGTACAGGCATTGGGTAAGCTTTTTCAATCCAAAGGGCAGAAATTTCCCAGGAAAATAACACAAATGGGACCACAGGCCCAATGCAAGTCCAAAACCCAGGAGGCCAGTATCCATTTAATCTTACAGTTCTAAAATCATGAAAAGAACTCACCGTCACAAGGACAGCAATAAGGAGATAGTGTTTAATGATTTGTGAAGGATCTGACCCCCCACCCCAATTTTCACCCCTCACCCCCACCATAATTCCCCCATTTTCCCTACACCCCCATCTTCCAACCCCCACTCTGCACCGTGATTAAATCATCTTCCACCAGGCCCCACCTTTAACATTCCAATTACAATTCCACATGAGTTTTGGTAGGGACACAGAGCTGAATTTTATTATTCTTTCCCTCACTCCCCAAATCTCATGTCCTTCTCACATTGCAAAATACAATGATGCCTTCCCTAAAGTCCCATAAAATCTTATATCATTCCAGCATTTATACAAATGTCCAAAGCCTAAAGTCTCATCTGACACAAGGCTACAGTCCCTTAGGCCCATGAGCCTCTGAAATATAAAGCAAGTTAACTACTTCCAAGGTACAATGCTTGTACAGGCATTGGGTAAGCATTCCCAGCCAAAAGGAAGAATTTTGCCAGAAAAAAAAACAAAACACAGATAGGACTTACTGGCCCCATGAAACTCCAAACCCAGAAGGCCAGTCATTCAATCCTACAGCTCCAAAATCACCCTTTTTGAAACCCTGTCCCACATCCAGGACACAGGGGTGTGAGGGCTGGGCTCCCAAGGCCTCGGGCAGCTTGGCACCTGTGGCTTTGCAGGGTATATGCCCCAAGGGTGCCCTCATGGGCTGGGCTGGTGATGAGTGCCTGTGACTTTTCCACATTGAGGAAACAAGTTTTGGGGGGGGGGTCTATGAATCTGGGGTCTGCATGATGGTGGTCTCCAGTGTGGGAGTTCCAACCCCATATTTTCCTTCTGCACTGCCCTAGTAGAAGTTTGATATAAGGCTCTGCCTTTTTGGGATGTTTTGCCTGGACACCCAGGAATTTCCATACATCTTCCAAAATCTATAGAGATGCTCCCAAGCCTCTAGTCTCACACTCCGTCCACCAGTGGCTTAACACTATGAGGATGTTACCAAGGTTTCTAGCCTGCATCCTCTGAAGCAGTGACCTGAGCTGTACCTGTGCATCTTTCAGCCATGGCTGGAGCTTGAGCTGCAGGGATGCAGGCAGCAGTGTTCTGAGGCTGCACATAGAAGAGGCTCATGGAACTGGCCAAGGAAACCATGCTTCTCTCCTAGGCCCCAGGGCCCACAATAGCAAGGGCTGCTGCAAAGGTCTCTGAAATGCCTTCAAGGCCTTTTTCCCTATTATCTTGTCTATTAGCACCGGGCTCCTTTTCATGCAAGTTTCTGAAGCCTTCCTCAATTTTCCCCCTGAAAATCAGCTTTTCTTTTTGACCACTTGGCCAGGCTCCAAATTTTCCTAAATTTGAGTTCTGAGAGACGGGACTCATTTAATGTAAGTCCCATCCAGAGGTTATTTCCTCCATCACACATAAGAGCACAGGCTGTTCCATGGGGACAGGACACCTCTTGAGATTTGCTGCCCAGTTCATTCCACCAGATACTCAGTAAGTCATCACCCTCAAGTTCAGTTTCACAGATCTCCAGGGCAGGGTCACCGTGCAGCCACATTCTTTGTTAAGGCAAAACAAAAGTCACTTTGGCTTCTGTTCCCAGTAAGTTCCTCATTTTCATTTGAGACCTTCTAAGTCTGGCTTTCACTCACCATTTTCCTGTGAGCCTTCTGGTCACAAGTATGTAACAATTCTTTACAAAGATCCAAACTTTCCCTCAACTTCTTGTCTGCAAAGCCCTCCAAACTCTCTGAACTCTGTCTGCTACCCCCTTCTGAACCTGCTTCTACATTATCAGCTATCTTTGCTGCAGCCTGACAATGTAGTAAGGGAAGACAAGTCCATTTTCAGGGGGAAAATTCAAGAAGGGTTCAGAGACTTGAATGAAAAGAAGCTGAGTGCTCACTACCAAGACAATAGGGAAAAGGCCTTGAAGACATTTAATAGACCCACTTTGCAGTACTAATTTTCTCTATGATCATAAAGAAGAGGTTTACTTGGCTCATGATTCTGCAGGCTATAAGGAAGTATAGTGGCTTCTACATCTAAGAGGAATCAGGAAGCCTCCCAGTCATACCAGAATGTCAAGGGGCAATGAGATGATTCATGTGGCAGGAGGAGGAGCAAGACAGGGAGAGGAGAGAGGTCCCACACCCTATTATACAACCAGATCTCATGAGAACTCACTATCACAAGGTCAGCATCACAAAGATGGTGCTTAACCACTGGTGAAGGATTCGCCCCCTACCCCCAACTCCCACTATTTCCAGGCAGAAGCCTGAGGCAGAGGCAGAGCCTCTTGGAAAACTCTACTAGGGAAGTGCGGAAGGGAAATATGAGCTTGGAGCACCCACACAGATGGCCACCAACCTCCAGACCCCAGATTCATAGACCCACCAACAGCTCACACCTTGTGTGGAAAAGCTACAGGCACTCAACACCAGCCCAGCCCATGAGAGCTGCGGCAGGGGCTAAACCCTGCAAAGCCACAGGTGCATTGCCCTAGTAGAGGGTTTCCCATGAGCCTCTGCCTCTGCAGCAGGCTGCTCCCCCTTCCTCCCACCCACCACCCTCCCACCACCCTACTGCCAGCCTACTCCTCCCCACCCTAACCAACCCTTTTCCTTCCACCCCAACCCCTTCCAGTCCATGATTAAATCATCTCCCCCAGGCCCCAACTTCAACATTTGGAATTAAAATTCCACATGAATTTTCATAGGGACACACAGCCAAACCATATTATTCTGACCCTGCTATCCCAGAATCTCATGTCCTTATCACAGAGTAAAATACAATCATGCCTTTTCAAAAGTTCCAACAGCCTTAACTCATTCCAAATGTAAAAAGTTCAAAGTCTCACCTGAGACAAGGCTACTGTCCCTTCTGCATATGAGTCCCTGAATTTAAAAGGGATTTCTTTTCTTTCAAGGTACAATGATGGTACAGGCATTGTGTAAGCTTTCTCAATCCAAAGGGAAGAAATTTCCCATAAAAATAACACAAATGGGACCACAGGCCTAATGCAAGTCCAAAACCCAGCAGGACAGTATTCACTCAATCTTTAAGCTCCATAATCATCAAGAGAACTCACTATCATGCAGACAGCATTAAGGAGATAGTGATTAACCATTTGTGAAGAATCCACCCCCCTATCCTCATCTTTCACCCCCACCCACAAAATAATCTCCCCCATTCTCCCCAAACCCCTACTTCCAACCCCCACTCTTCTCCATGATTAAGTCACCTTCCACCAGGCTCCAACTTTAACATTCCCCATTACGATTCCACATGAGTATTGGTAGGGACACAGAACCAAATCATATTATTCTGGCCTTTGGTCCCCAAATCTTGTATCCTTGTCACACTGCAAAATACAATGATGACTTCTCTACTGTCCCCCAATGACTTAACTCATTCCAGCATTTACTGAAAAGTCCAAGGACTTACAGACCCCATGAAGTCAAAAACCCAGCAGGCCAGTCATTGAATCCTGCAGCTCCAAATCATCTTTTCTGAATCTACATCTCACATCTAGAGCACAGGCATGTGATGGCTGGGCTCCCAAGGCCTTGGGCAACTCTGCACCTGTGGATTTGCATGATATATCCCCCACAGCTGCCCTCATGGGCTGGGCTGTGTTGAGTGCCTGTGGCTTTTCCACACTAAGGGTGCCAGCTGTTGGTGCATCTATGAATCTAAGGTCTGGAGAATGGTGTCTCCATATTTAGGGACTCCAACCCCATTTTCTCCTTCTGTACTGCCCTGGTAAAGGTGTGCCATGAGGCTCTGCCTCTTGGAAAAGCTTCTGCCTGAACACCCAGGTTTTTCCGTACATACTCTGGAGTCTAGACACAGGCCCCCAAGCCTCTAGTTTTGTGCTCTGTGCAGCCGCTGGCTTAACACTATGTGGAAGACACCAAGGCTTGGAACTTGCACCCCTGAAGCAGGGATGCAAACTCTACCTGTGCATCTTTCAGCCATGACTGGAGTTGGAAATGGAGCTGCAGGGATGCCGGCAGCAGTGTCCTGAGGCTGCACATAGAGGGGGCTCATGGAACTGGCCCAGGAAACGATGCTTCTCTCCTAGGCCCCAGGGCCTGTGACAGCAAGGGCTGCTGCAAAGGTCTCTGAAATGCCTTCAAGGTCTTTTCCTTATTGTCTTGGCTATTAGCACCGGGCTCCTTTTCGTGCAAATTCCTGAAGCCTTCTTGAATTTTCCCACTGAAAATCGGCTTTTCTTTCTGACCACTTGGCAAGGCTGCAAGTTTTCCAGACTTTTGAGTTCTGTTTCTCATTTAATATAAGAGTTGTGACTCATTTAATGTAAGACCCATCCAGAGGTCATTTCCTCAGTCACACAAAAGGGCAAGGGCTGTTTCATGCAGACAGGACACCTCTTGAGCTTTGCTGCCCAGAAGTTCATTCCACCAGATACTCACTAAGTCATCACCCTCAAGTTCAAAGTTTCACATATCTCCAGGGCAGGGTCAATGTGCAGCCACATTCTTTGCTACAGCAAAACAAAACTAACCTTGGCTCCTATTCCCAGTAAGTTCCTCATCTTCATCTGAGACCTTCTAAGTCTGATCTTTACTGTCTATTTTCCTGTGAGCCTTCTGATCACAAGTATTTAACAATTCTTTACAAAGATCCAAATTTCCCCTCAATTTCTTGTCTTGGAAGCCCTCCAAACTCTCCTGAACTCAGTCTGCTACCCTCTTCTGAACCTGTTCCTGCATTATCACCTATCTTTGTCAAAGCCTGGCAATGTGGTATGGAAGACAAGTCCATTTTCAGGGGGAAAATTCAAGGAGGATTCAGAGACTTGAATGAAAAGAAGCTGAGTACTGATAGCCAAGACATGGGGGAAAAGGCCTTGAAGACACCTAATAGATCTTCTTTGCATTAAAAATGCTCTCAATGATCAAAAAGAAAAGAAGTTTAATTGTTAATGATTCTGCAGGATGTAAGGAGGCATACTAGTTTCTGCATCTCAGAGGACTCAGGAAGCCTCCCAATCACACCAGAATGTCAAGGGGCAATGAGATGTCTCATATGCCAGGAGCAGGAGCAAGCATGAGAGAGGAAAAAGGTGTCATGCCCTATTATACAACCAGATCTCATGAAAACTCACTATCATGAAGACAGCATCAAGCACATGCTGCCTAACCATTGGTGAAGGAAATGCCTCCCACACCCACCTCCCACTGTTTCCAGGCAGCAGCCTGCTGCAGATGCAGAGTTCTTGGGAAACCTCTACTAGGGCAGTGCAGAAGGAAAATATGGACTTGGAGCCCCCACATAGGGGGCTACCACCGTCCAGACCCCAGATTCACAGACCCACCAACAGCTGGCACCCTCAGTGAGGAAAAGCTACAGGCCCTCAATACCAGTCCCGCGCATGAGAACAGCTGAGGAGCTAAACCCTGCAAACCACAGGTGCACTGCCCTAGTAGAGGGTTTTCCATGAGTCCCTCACTCTGCAGCAGGCTACTCCTCCTTCCTACTACCACCCACCCTCCCACCACTCTACTACCGACCCACTCCTCCCAATCCTACCCATCCCTTTTACCTTCCACCACCACCAACCTCCCGTCCATAATTAAGTCACCCGCTTCAACATTAGGGATTACGATTCCGCATGAGATTCATAGGGACACACAGCCAAACCATATTATTCTGACCCTGATATCCCAGAATCTCATGTCCTTATCACAGAGCAAAATGCAACCATGACTTTTCAAAAATCTCCAAAAGTCTTAACGCATTCCAAATGTAAAAAAATTCAAAGTCTCTCCTGAGACAAGGCTACAGTCTCTTCTGCCTATGAGTCCCTGAATTTAAAATGGAGTTCTTTTCTTTCCAGGTACAATGATGGTATGGGCATTGGGTAAGCTTTCTCAGTCCAAAGGGAAGAAATTTCCCATAAAAATAGCACAAATGGGCCCACAGGCCCAACACAAGTCCAAAACTCAGCGGGACAGTATTCACTCAATCCCACAGCTGCAAATATCATCAGGAGAACTCACTATCACACAGGCGGCATTAAGGAGATAGTGTTTAAACATTTGTGAAGGATCTGCCCCCTACCCTTACCTTTTACCCCCACCCACAAAATAATCTCCCCCATTCTCCCCACACCCCTACCTCCAACGCCCACTCTTCTCCATGAATAAATCACCTCACACCAGGCCCCACGTTTAACATTCACCATTACAATTCCAAATGAGTTTGGTAGGGATGCAGACCCAAATCGTATTATTCTGACCCTGACCCCCCATATCTCATGTTGTTCTCACACTGCAAAATACAATGATGCCTACTCTACAGTTTCCCAATGTCTTAGCTCATTCCAGCATTTACTGAAATGTCCAAAGCCCAAAGTCTCTTCTGAGACAAGACTGCCATCCCTTCTGCCCCTGAGCCTCTGAAATACAAAGCAAGTTAATTACCTCCAAGGTATGACTGTCCAGGCATTGAGTAAGAACCTCCACCCGAAAGGAAGATTTTTTGCCAGAGAGAAGAACAAAACACAAACGGGACTTACAGGTTCCCATGACATTCCAAAACCCAGCAGGCCAGTTATTCAAACCTACAGCTCCAAAATCATTCTTTTTAAATCCTTGTCCCACATCTAGGACACAAGGGCATGAGGGCTGGGCTCCCAAGGCCTTGGGCAGCTCTGCACCTGTGGCTTTGCAGTGTTCAGCCCCCGCAGCTGCCCTCATGGGCTGTGCTGCTGTTGAGTGCCTGGAGTTTTTAACCCATGGAGGGTACGAAGCTTTTGATGGGTCTATGAACCTGGGGTTGGCACGATGGTGGCCTCCAGTGTGGGGGCTCCAACCTCATATTTTCCTTCTGCACTGCCCAAGTAGAGGTTTCCCATGAGACTCTGCTTTTTTGGCAGCCTTCTGTCTGGACACCAGGCATTTCCATACATCTTCCGAAATATATTTATATGGAGGCTCCCAAGTCTCTAGACTAGTGCTCCGTGCACCCACTGGCTTAACACTATGTAGAAGCCACCAAGGCCTATAGCTTGCACCCTCTGAAGCAGTGACCCAAGCTGTACCTGTGCATCTTTCAGCCAAGGTCGGAGCAGGAGCTGGGGCTGCTGGGATGCAGGCAGCAGTGTCCTGAGGCTGCACACAGCAGCAGGGCCACGGGGCTGGCCCAGCAAACCATTCTTCTCTCCTAGGTCCCAGGGCCTGTGACAGCAAGGGCTGCTGCAAACATCTCTGAAATGCCTCCAAGGCTTTTCCCCACAATTGTCTTGGCTATTAGCACTGGCCTCCACTTTATGCAAATTTCTGGAGACTTCATGAATTTTCCCCCTGAAAATCAGCTTTTCTCTTTGACAACTTGGCCAGGCTGCAAATGTTCCAAACTTTTGAGCTCTGCTTGTCATTTAAATATAAGTTCCAACTTGAGGTCATTTCCTTGGTCACACATGAGAGCGCAGGCTGTTTGATGC